>NC_000010.11:81961277-82112792 GCF_000001405.40 Homo sapiens | reverse complement strand
CCTGGCAAAAATCAGGTGACTATGGTTACAGTTGGTGACATTATGGAGCTTCTTCAACAAGATCATTTGGGATTATAAACCATAGGGTGACCTTCAGAATGTCACCTAAATTTGTAAGATCCATGAATAATAGATGTGTCATAATTCATTAGCAGTCTGTAGCAAGCTCTAGTCTGCACTAATGAAGAAGCGCCATTTAGAAAAGAAATGTGCAAATTATAAACTGTTTAAGAAAATACTTGATAAACATTTTCACCAAACTACATTTAATTCTGCCATTTAAACTGCCTCCTGTGGAGTTTAACTACACCATCAAAAACAGCTATTGCCCATAAAATCGGAAACAAAGGCAGTAACATTTTCTGTTTGATTCCTATGAGGCCTGTTCCCTCATCTTCCTAAAAAAAGAATAACCCCACAACTTCACAGTATGCACCTCTCTGGAAGACCCCTATGTTAGGTCTACCAGGTTTCTTCTCATAAAAAAATAATAATAAGCGAAAACAGAAAGGGTAGGCAAGGTGTTTTGTTTTCTTTTGTTTTCTTTTTTAAGACAGGGTCTCACTCTGTTGCCCAAGCTGGAGTGTAGTGATGTGATCACAGCTTATTGCAGCCTCGAACTTTGGGCTCAAGCAATTCTCCTGCACCAGCCTCCTGAGTAGCTGGGACCCCAGGCATGTGCCACCATGCCCAGCTGTTTTTTATTTTTTTTACAGTGACAGGGGTCTTGTTATATTGCCCAGGATAGTCTCAAACTCCTGGTCTCAAGTGATCCTCCTGCCTTGGCCTCCCAAAGCAGTAGGATTACAGCCATGAGCCACCATGCCCAGCCTAAGACATTCTTATATTTGCATAATTCACATGAGCAACCTCATATTATTGGATTAGTAGAAAAGGACTATTAAATAGATGATTTGTGGTGCTATAATAACAAAATACATTGATCACTAGAAGGCAGTGTAAAGTGTAAATTCATTGCAAATTAGTCAAGACAAGACAAGCTTCATAATTTGATAGGCCTACTGGGCTGGTAGACTAAGAAATGTTATAGTCAGATGGTGTTTTTATTTCATCAAAGAATTTAATAGAGACCCTCATTATATATTTAATAATATCATGAATAAATGTGGGCTGCTGGATAATTGTGGTAGGTAAATTCACAGCTGGATGAAAGCAAAAAAGAGTTCATGGATAGATCTTGGTCAATGAAAATGCTGACTCTGGGTGAGTACCTATGCTTCCCTGGACCTTCTCCAGTGATCTAAAAGATGACAGAATGTTGGAAGCCTCAGATAACAGCATAGAGGGCATGCTAATTAACTGGTAAATGCTATGACACTGAAAGCAGAGCCCAAAGCACTCGGTCGTGTTTGTATCAAACTCAATTAAGAATATTTATTATGTATAATGTATGATCTATCATCAGGGTTGTCAAAAAGTAAATTCATTTTTGAAAGATACAATGAGGGAGACCTGGTTTAAGAAGAGATTATTAGAATATGCCTTGGAACTCAGTTGACCACAAACTCAGTGTAAGCTGACGAAGTGATAAGATGTTCAAGAAGATAATTCAAGTATAAGCTTTCTGAATAAAGTCTGGGGTTCAGACCAAAATAAGCAAGTATCTTATTTCCTTCTAAAGAGGCCAGATCCAACCCAAGGGAGTATGTCCACATGTGGGAACATGTTTTCAAAATTTTTGATTTTCAACTAACTTTAGACTCACAGAATGCTCTCTTTTCTTACAGGCAACAGAAAAGTTTTGCAACAGAAAAGTTGCAAAAGCACAACAGAGAATTCCTATAATCCTCTTTGGTAACATCTTTGTTAGCAAAGTAACTTTGAAAGCAGCACTTTTTTTTTCTTTTCTCTATCTAAACTTACTTGCCTGGTGATCCTGATTTAATGGCTTTCAATAACAACTATATTCTGATGACTTCAATATTTACCTCTCTGATCCACACATCTCCCTTGAATTTCAAATGCCTGTAGGCCATTACCCTTTTGATACCTCCACTGGGATGTCTAGTAGACATCTAATAGATATAAAGACATCTGACATAAACCTACTCATCTCCCCACACTGTTCTCCCTGGAGTCTCCTCACCTTCTAGTTGCTCTTTGACTCCTCTCTTTCTTCCTTACTCCATATTCAATTCATAACAAAATCTCACTTATTAAAAAAAAACTATATTAATATCTGACTACTTTCCTCCCTGACACCTTTACCACTTTGGTCCAAGCCATCATTTCATGGAATAGCCTCGTCTCTCGTCTCTGTGTTTCCGTTGTTACCTCTCCCTGCTCTGTCGACAACACACTATCCACTTTAATAATGAGATAGTCTTATTCCTCTCATAAGATTCTCCAATGGCTTCTGATCTCACTCAACATAAAAGCTCAAATCCTGAAGTGGCTGGCAACATTTTATACAATCTGGTCTCCTGTTATCTCTCTAACATCATCTCCTACCACCCACCCATGTTCACTCCATATGATCACCCATTTCTTTCCTTCATCAGGCCCAGTCTCATCCAAAGGATTTTTTATTTGATTTTCCCTTGGCCCAATATATACTCACCATAGATATCTGTATGGCTCCCTCAATTGTAACCTTCTTATCCTGGCAAAACGAGGTTATTCCTGGCCCTGGTATTCCAATTGTAGCCTCCCTTTACCCTTTCCCAATTTTGTCTCTGTAGCACTTATGACCATCAAACAGACATGCTTGACCTGTTTTGTGTATTGTCTTTGGAGAAGGGAATTTGACTGTTGTTGTTTCACCACTGCTTTTCCATTACCTAGCATATTGTCACCAAAAATTAGTTAAATTCAGGAATCAATGAATCACAGTGATTAAGAAGAGCACTTATTCTAGTATCAGACAGCCAGGTCACAAGTGCCAAGTTGATTGCTTACAAGCTGCACGATCTTGGTCAAACTGTGAAACTGTGTTCTTTAGTTCTGCACCTGCTGCATGGGGATACTAGTACTGAATTTGAAGGCTTGTTATGAGGATTAAATGCGAAGATTCAGGAAATTACATGTTACAGTGTTTGAAAATCACTAAATGGTCACTTAATATTATTATTAATTGAAGAGAAAGTCAGAAACAATGGACAGTATAAACATAAATATCTAGCTAATGACTCAGTGTAACCTGGTGCTTTAAGTTCAGAGCATTGGAATCAATTTGATCTGAAAATATATATATACACACACACACACACACACACACACACACACACACACACACAATCTTATTCTTTAGCTTTGTTTCCTAGAGCAACACAATAAGCCTCTATAAACCTTGGAATCTTTAACTATAAAATTGGAATAATAATCTGCTTTCATCTATTCACTGGAAAGATAAAATAGGATAGAGCGCTTAGCAGTATTTTCTGTACCTACTAAAGTGTTGACTAAATAAATGGTCATGATTGTTGCAAAATCTGGAACTTAATTTGTCCAGATGATTGTCCCGTTTGGCTTTCCTGTGGCCTTCTTCAATCACTCACCATGTTCCTGTAGCTCAACCTTGCTCCCTAAGACCAAGAGCCCTGTGCCTGGAATCTCCCATGTTCTACTCATTCCTTGGAAACTTGGCTGTTGTGGAGGTAACATCAGGAAATAAGTTGACCACATCATAATTCTTCTGACATTAGCGACTAGTATAATTGGTTCTTTTATTCAAGAAATGTGCATCAATCCCATCTGTGTGCCAGGCTCTGTACTGGGTGTCCCCTAGGTATACCCTGGTGAATAAAACCCAGCCCCTGTCCACAGGTAGCTTCCATTCTAGTGAAGGGTAATGGCCCAGAGAGTTAGCCCTCCCAAGGTTTGTTATTAAAAGAGTGAATTTATGTTGCTCATATAGCAGGAATTAACTGGGGATAAGGAGATTGGATCAGAGGCCACTCTGGGTAAATATAAATATACCATATCCAGGCTGTGGCCACATGGTACTCTTCTGCCTGAGCTTTCACTCATTGCTAAGCAAACCTTCTGTAAGGAACATCAAAGTGCTCATCTCCTACCCAACAATCAGGCTAGCTATTATGAACGCTAGGATTATTCTTGCTGCTAATACTACTACTGTAATTACTTCTACTACTACAACTACTACTATCTTCATTATTTTTGCAATCAATTATTTATGAAATTGACATTAGTAGCCTAAATCCTCCTTGTTTGTCTCACAATACTGAGCATGGTGTCAATATTTATATTCAGATTATCAAAAAAGGAAGGTCAATTTAATTAGCAAAGCTTCATGGCTAAGGAAAGAGGAAGTGAAGGGTAGCAGAGAGACAGGCATCCATGCATCCTGGTGACATTTCCATTTATCTCCAGCTCCTCACAGACTTCCAGTACAGTCACACTAAGTCAGCACTCACTTGTTCAATCTAGGACATTGGAGGTCTTGACAAAACACTATAAATCAATTCTCTGTGCTACAATCATCCAGAAGAGCACAGGAAAATTTGTTTACATATTAGCAAATAGATCAGTAACAGCTTGCAAAATACCCCTGTCTGTGTCCTGGAAATATCATGGGATGAAGACCAATATTAATATCATAGATGAGTCTAAATCATCTGTAATAGCCAGATGTTTTCTAACTGTGCATTGAGATTATAAACTTATCTGATTACTTTGTCGTTCTTCATCTGGGCATATCAGATGGCTTGGTGTCACATTTAAGTGGCAAGGCCATGTTGAACAGATCCAACCTCAGGCAGGAAGCCCATGCACAGAAAAGATCTCTAAAGAGCAAATTGCCAAAGTAGACCTCACAGACGGCTGCGTCAGCCGTGGCAATGGATAAGCTGGCCATCACCCTCATTTAATAAGTACCCTTGATGTTTTCGTTTTTCAGCTTCTCTTACTTACCAACCTTACCTGGATATTTCCACAGTTTAGGGGAGAAAAAAAGGAAGCTATGTAAACTCAACTGTTTACTCTGTTTTTTAAACATACATTTTTCTTTTTTTGACTCCCTCCTCTATTTTCCACAGTGATTGTTACACTCATTCATTCAACAAAGACAGAAAGATGGCTTTACAGAAAAAGAGAAATGTATTAAGCTCCTACTAAATGACTAGCCCCGTGCAACAATAGTGTAATGATCATACAGTTTATTTTCTACAAGTATCTAAGAAGCCTGATGCAACTTCCTCAAGCTGTGCATCTGAATCCTAGTTCTGCTACATCACTGAAGTTTTGTTATATATTGGGAAAATTAATTTTTTTCTGTTTTTCCACCTGTAAAATTTTTTTTAAAATAAGTAAAATAGTCTGTGGAGAGTACCCAGAAATTGGCATATAATACATGCTTTCTAAGTGACATGTGCTATTTACGCAAAAGTTGGATCTTCCAGATTTCATGGTCCTTATCAGCAACATCTTCCATTTATGGTCACAACTAAATCTTATTTATCCTATTTATGACTTCCTTAGCATGTTGCTACATTTTCTATTCAGTCTGGTACAAGTTGAATCATCCTAATCTAAAAATCCAAAATCCAAGTTTCCAAAATTTAAAACATTTTGAATGCCGACATGAGATTAAAAGGAAATGTTCATTGGAGTATTTTGGATTAGGGATTTTCAGATTTGGGATGGTTAACCAGTAAGTGTAATGCAAGCATTCCAAAATCTGAGAAAAAGAATCCAAAATCTGAAACACTTCTGGTCCCAAAATATTTCAAATAATAGATTATCCACCTGTATTAATGTTTTGTATGGCTTTGAATAATGTGCCCATGTCTAGCTCCTCTCATGCCTTAGACAATGCCTAGCTTACAGGGGTTCTTTAAGTGGAGAAGGAAATAAATTGCTACACCAAATGGGACTATATTAAATCTAACTGTGTAACATTTTGGGCAAAGATTGTTTTCATTTCTCTTTTTGCAAGATACCTTATAGCAGAGTGCATCTTCTCAGAAATATTTTTGTAGATCCCTGGATAAAAAATGTCTAATTAAGCCAGGTGCAGTGGCTCGCACCTGTAAATCCCAGTACTTTTGGAGGC
The DNA here is from genome assembly GCF_000001405.40 of Homo sapiens. Taxonomy (NCBI): domain Eukaryota; kingdom Metazoa; phylum Chordata; class Mammalia; order Primates; family Hominidae; genus Homo; species Homo sapiens. The sequence goes on along the minus strand of NC_000010.11, from coordinate 82,106,758 downwards.
CGAGGCAGGCGGATCATTTGAGGTCAGGAGTTCGAGACCAGCCTGGCCAACATGGAGAAAACCTGTCTCTACCCAAAATACAAAAATTAGCTGGGCATGGTGGTGCGCGCCTGCAGTCCCAGCTACTTGGGAGGCTGAGGCAGGAGAATCACTTGAACCCAGGAGGCGGAGGTTGCAGTGAGCCAAGATTGTGCAACTTTACTCCAGCCTAGGTGACAGAATGAGACTCCATCTCAAAAAAAAAAAAAAAGTCTAATTATGCATTTTCAAAATAAAAATCTAGAGCAAATGAGCTTAACAACTAGCCTAACCTTAGGTGATTGAGATTCTGAAAGGGATCCTGGGTTTATAAGCCTGATTTGTATTTAAGAGTATACAATTAGTTGATATGAACTGTGGCCTTGTGGTGAACCCTCCTGGGTCTAACTTCTAGCATCTATGCCCTTGGCTCAGCAACACTGGTGGAGGAACTCCTGGTTTCACAGCTTGAGCCTAACCCTTTCCACAGCTGGTTCATTTGGCTTAATGTTCAGTACTGAGTCTCTGACTGACCTTACATTTCAATTGTCACCAAAGGTCAGGCCCCTCTGTTCAACACTCAGTTGCCTTAGATAAGCCTTGCTAACTAGGCTGCAGTGTTGGTCTATGTCAGCCTTGGACTCAGCAGGTCTAAAACTGTCAATACAAGGTTAGTGGAAAGTATTGGAAATAGATGTGCTCACTAAATCAGATGCCCAAATAACTAGACCCCAGAAGAACAGATCTTTGTTGTAATAAATATCCCTCAGGTCATGGATGCATGGAATCAGTCACCATCACTCAACTGAAAAGCCATTAAATATGACATAAGGCTTTGCATACCGAGCAGTGTGTCTTGGATTTTACTGCGTCATATCTGCAGTATTCGTGGAAATTCTGGATGTTTCTATTTCTTCCTAATTGTCAATGTTTTTGACATTCCTTTATCCCTGTTATCTCAGTGTTCTTGATTGTTATCATTTATGTCTATTTTCATATTGACATGTAATTTATTGATAATATCTCAAATTGTAAGATTATGTGAAACAGAGAGAAGAAAAATGGACAGATAGTGTATGTATTCATTACAGATGCCTCAAATCATTCAGAGGATGACGTAGGGCATCAACAAGCAAACAAACAAATAAATGTCAAACACAATACAAATAACAAGAACCTCCTCTACACAAAGTAGCAAAGTATCTACTTTTATCTTTCAACAACTTATTCCATGTACATATATTAATGCTGCAATGCCAGACAGGGTCCCCTATCCTAGAAGAATGGGAAGATACAGGGAGGACATCACTTACTCCACACTACCTCTGATACTACTCAAACTCAAGTTAGAGAGAAATTTATAATACCTGATGCTAGCGAACAAACCCTATTCAGTTAATTGAGAGCTTACAATATCGGGCTTTCTACTTGTACAGGATGCAAACAGGTAATGAGGCAGTCAGATGAACTCAGTGCACCTTTGATTATGTTCAAACTTTGCTGCACTTGAATCTGCCAATTCTATAATGAAAATTGATGAGCCCATCATAATCTGTATTCCATAGCCATAGAATAGCTCCAATACTTTTTAATAACAAAGATTCTATTTCCATTGAATTCACGTTTTTCTAGTGAAATATTATCTATAACCTCAGAAAATATTGTATATTCCTAAATATTCCTCTATTATCTACAACCATAACCTGTTTATTTTTCCATATGAAACCCTTCATGTTTACAGGTTAAGCATCAGATTTAAATATAAATGTGTCCTCAAAAGAAACATGTAAAACCACCAGCTCAAATAAAGTTAAGTGTTTGATATTAAAGTGTTTTATGTGATTATAAAAGCAATAATTCCTTTTCATAATCAACACTATAAAGCTTCAATTCTAACATCTGTGTGTGTAGTATGTGTGAATTTACATGTGTATAAATTTACATGTGTATATGCACATGCAAATTTAAATACAGACAGGTATATTAATGGAGAGATTGATACACATATTTTTTAAATTGCAATCGTATAACACATACTATCTTCAATAAACAATGTTAAGATTTATGCTTTATTTTATTTCATAACCATAATATCCACAATTGTTCATTCTGTATTTCTTTATTGATGTTTTAAATGCTGACTACCTTTTTCACACAGCACATTCCTATAACATTTCAGAGTTCCTCATATTGCTTTATCTTGTCTAAGAACAGTTTTACTGAAGACGGATAGTGGCAACAAAGTTCTTGATTTTTTTACAAATTTTACAAATATTGTCTCCCTGCTTCCTAAATGACAGCTTGGCCAAATATATATTATTTTGTATCCCACTCTCTTTTCCTCTGATATGTGTAGATATTTTCTCCTTTTTAAGAACAATCTGTTGAAATAGAGATGACAGGAGCTGGCCCAGTATTCTCCTATTAAGCGGCCAGCATCTCATGGCTGTATAGCTAACACATTCTTTAATTTATAAGTTTAATATCCTAACCTGGGCTTCTGCTGTGGCCAAAATGCTATAAGCCTGCTATTGCCAACCTCTTTCACTGATTATGGCTAAAATCTCTGAACAGAAATACAAAAAGAAAATTACTTCTGAAAAGTAAATATTGGCAGGCAAATGAGAGACAAAAGTCAAAAAAATTGAAGAACAAACAGTATGAGGGAAAGTGCACTTTTTAAATTATTTCCTTAACACCCAACTTTGACATGAGGGTGGACTAATTAAAACACATACAGCAGGTATAAAAATTAAAAAAAAAAAAAGGCACGAGAAAAATCTTTCTAGTAGATCGCTGGGAAAGAGGGCCCCCATGAACCATAGAGTATGGGGGAATCCCTACTTATTTATTTGTTTGTTTGTTTCTTTTCCCTCTTCTTTTTTCTCACCTTGTCTTTCCCGGTGGCAGAATGCACTCCTGTGATGATAATGGTAGTGGCAGCCCAGGCACGTAAAAGCCAAAGGAAAAAACCCATCTCTCTGGCCTCAGAACTGGAGGAGGCCCTTGAGAGCTGCAGACTTTGAGGTGAATCTTGGAGCAGAGAGAGCTAGAGACAAGAATTGCTTAATTCTGTGTATAAACCAACAAAATTTCTGAGCCACTGCTAAGTAGAACACGCATGTAATAGACCCAAAGAAGCATGTCAAAGGCTTTGAAAGTAAAAATATGATATAAAATACCACCTAAGTTCCAGAATAACAGAAGAGTGATGTATTTTTAGGACAGTCAAATATAGAGTAACAAAGGTTTTAAAACATAACTGACATTGGATCAATCACCCACAGAAGGTGAGACAACACTCACAGTCCAAACCTAAGTTGACTGCTTGCTTTTAAAACAAGCAATATCATTCAGAGGATTTTTGAAAGATCCATAATGTCACAATATGTTCAGAACTCAACCCAAAATTACTTTGAATCTACCAATTCTATACAAAGAATAGATTCTATACAAAGAATAGAAACCTCATAACCAAATGTCTGAAAAGAGCCACAAAAATATGGCACATTACATATAAAGGAATGAAAAAATCATGACTCTGAATTTTTCATCAGAAACTATGGAGGCAGGAAGATCATAAAACAATATACTTAAAGTGCTGAAGAAAAGACCAGCCCAGAATACTAAGCCCAATAAAAATATTCTTTAAGAAGGAAGATAAAATAAAGATATTCTCAGATGAAGATAGTCTGAAATAATTCCTCAAGAATAAATATGTTCTGAAAGAAATGCTGACGGAAGTACTTCAGATGAAAGAAAAATAATATTAGTGAGAAGCCTCAAACTTCCAAAATGAAGGCAGAACAACAGAATGGTAAATATCGAATAATATAGTAGACTTTTTCTCTGATTTTAATGTGCATTAGTGTGAAAGTTAAAATTAAAATATATGGTGGAGTTTTCAATGTATATAGATAGAATATTTATTACAATAGTAAGATAAAGGGGAAAATTAAAAATCTATACAGTTGGAAGGCATCCCGATTTTGTTTGCAGTAAAAAAAGGTATTAACTTTTAAGTAGACTGTGAAAAGTTAGAAATGTATATTTATGTAGAGTAACATCATATAAACACCTACACATACTGTGTGTGTATATTTATTTGTGTGGGTATAATATAAAATATATATCCCAAAAGGCCAATAATTAAAATATCATGATAAAAATATTCAAATAATGCCCCCAAAAAGCAGGAAAGTGGGAACACTGGAACAAAAATGGAGGGAAAAAAAATCTAACTAATAAAAAAGCTAAACCTAAATAAAACCATGTCAATAATTACTGTATATAAATGATCTAACAACAACAAATAACAAAATGGATTGTCAGATTTCATTAAAAAAAGGCCCTACTATGCAATGACTTCAAGAAATGCACTTTAAATATAATAACATGGACAGGCTAAAAGTAAAATAAAGGAGAAAGTTAAACTATATAAACACCAAAGAATGATGGGATGGCTATATCAATATCAGACAAATTTCACTATAAAACAGGAAAATTCCTAGGGATATTGAGGACCATTACTTGATGAATAAAAGGCTCAATTACCCAAGAAGACATTACATTCATATATATATATATATATATATATATATATATATGAATACACATATATATATATGAATACACATATATATATATGAATACACATATATATATGTATACACACATATATACACACACATTACATTTATATGTGCATATATATGTGTGCGTATATATATATATATACGCACACATATATACAGAACTGTAAAATAAGACAAAAACTGATAGAACTGGAAGGAGATATGGAAAAGTCCCAAATTATTCTTTAAGATTTCAAAACTTCTCTCTCATTAATCCATACAACATACAGAAAATCAGCAACAATATGGGAGACTTGAACCACAGTATCGACCAAACTGATGTAAATGCATTTAGAAAATAATCCAACAGTAATAGACATTTTCAAGTAACCATGAAATATTCTCCAAGATAGACCCTTTCCTTGCTTATTAAACAACCCTTAGCAAATTTAAAATAATTAAAGTCATACAAAGTATGATCTCTTAGCATAACAGAGTTGAACTGTAAATCAATTACATAAAAATCATTGGTGATTCCACAATGATTTAGAAGCTAACATATCCCTAAATAATTAATGGGTTAAGTAAGACAACCAAAATGAACTATAAAGTATTTTGATCTAAATATAAATAAAAATAAAATCTATCAGGATATGTGGGACAGCTAAATTAATATTTGCAGAAAATTTACAGCATTGAGTCATATTAGAAAATAAGAAAGCCCTAAAATAAATAACCTAAGCTACTGTCATAAGAAACTAGAAAATGAGGAGCAATTTAGGCCTAAAGAAAGCAGAAGGAAATACATAATAAACATATCAATGGTGTCAATAATAAGTTGATATTACTGAAATAGAAAACTGAAAAGCAAAAGAGAAAATCAATTAAATCAAAAGCTGCTTTAACTGAAAAATAATAAAGTTGATGAAACTCTAGACAGATTGACCAAAACAAAGAGAGTTATCACAAATATCAGTATCAAGAATACAAAAGGAACACCACTGAGACCTTATGGACATTAAAAGAAAAATAATAAGAGAATAATACAAATCTGTCTGTGTCTATAGAGGAAATGTGCCAATTCCTTGAGTGAGGCAAATTAGCAAAACTTACTCAAGAACAGATAACCTGAAGAGTTCTATATCTACTAAAGAACTAATGTGTGTTAAAAACTTTCCAACAAATAAAACTCCAGACCTCGATCATTTCACTGGAGAATTCTAACAATTTAAAGAACAAATGATAACAATTCCACATATTCTCTTCTAAGACACTTCTCAATTTTATGAGGCCAAAAAAAATCTTCCTAATAAAAAAGGACAAAGGCATTTTAGTAAAAGAAAATGACAGGCCAATATTCCTGTTGAACACAGACACAAAAATGCACAAAAAATATTAGAAAACCAAAAACAGCACTATATATAAATGGTAATACCAAATATATTACCAAGTATAGTTTATCCTGGTAACACAAAGATGACTTAATATTTTAAAATCAATCAATCACCATAGTAAGAGACTAAGTTAAATCAGGACCATATCAAAATATATACAAAAAACTGACAGATTTGACAGATTAAATCTCAGAACACTAAAATAGATGGGAACTTCCTTAACCTGATCATGCAACTCACACCAAAAGAAAACAAATGCTTAGACTACTGTTATATTTAAAGTTGAAAGACTGAATGATTTCTCCTAAGTTCAAGAACAAAGGAAGAAAGTCCATTATACATCATCGTATTCAACATTATAATAAACATCCCAGCCAGTGCAATAAAAGGCTGAAAAAAAGGAAGAGGGAGATATACAAAGACTTGGAAGATAGAAAGAACATTGTTCCTATTAATAGAAGACACCATTGTCTACATAGGAAGTTCAAAGGCATCCACAAAAAAGCTCCTGGAAGTAATATGGTAATATAGCAAAGCCATAGAATCCAAAAAAGTCATATTTCAATATGTTTTCAATGAAATATTGGAAATAAAAGATAAGCAACATTTACTATTCCATTAAAATTGAATTCTAGTGTATCAAATAAAAAATGTGCAAAAATTCTGGAAGTGACAAAATATTGAGGACAGAAATTAAAGAAGACCTAATTAAATAAAGAGGTATTCCATCTTCATAGAACAGGAGACAATATTTTACTTGTTTTTTTAAATTATATATATATATATATTAGAGACAGGGTATTGTTCTGTCACCTAACTGGAGTACCATGATGGAATCACAGCTCACTGCATACTTGAACTCCTGGGCTCAAGCAACCCTCCCCCATCAAACTTCCAAGCATCTAGGAGTATAGGCATGTGGCACTGGGACCAGCTAAGTTGTTTTTTTGTTTTTGTTTTTGTTTTACATTTTTGTAGAGAGGAAGTCTTGCCATGCTGATCTCAAACTCCTGGGCTCAAGCAATCCTCCCTCTTCAGTCTCCCAAAGTGTTGATATTAGAGATGTGAGCCACAGTGCCCAGCTTAGAGACAATATTAATAAGATATCAATGTTCCTAAAAATTGATCAATAGAGTCTACACAATACCTCAAGGTACCAGTAGAGTTTATTGTAAATACCAACAAGTTTATTCTAAAATTTTGACAGAAAGTCAAGGGAATGAGAATAGCCAAAACAACTTTGAAAACAAACAGCAAAGTTTGTGGACTCACAATACCTGGTTTCAAGACTACCTAGTAAAAGCTACCATAGTAAAAGCTACCATATTAAGACAATGTGGAATTGGAAAAAGTGTTGATAAATGGATCAATGCAATTGAATAGGCTCCAGAAAGAAACCCACATATATATGTTCAAGTGATTTTTCCTACACAGGCAATTCAAGAAATTTTGGTGGAACAATCAGTTATCAAAAAAGTGAATCCTAACCAAATTTTATGTTTTATAAAAATATTAACTCAAAATTTTTGATAGTTGTAAGTGTAAAATGTACAATTATAAAACTTGAGAAAAAAGAGAAAATCTTCATGACCTACAGTAAGTTAGGCAAAGTTTTTTTTATACAGAACAGCAAAACCATAATCCATGAAAGAAAAAAGAAATCATAATTTATAAAATTAAAATCTTTGCTCTGTCAAGATGCTACCTAGGCCAGGTGTGGTGGCTCACGCCTGTAATCCCAGCACTTTGGGAGGTCAATGCGGGCAGATCACGAGGTCAGGAGATCGAGACCATCCTGGCTAACACGGTGAAACCCCATCTCTACTAAAAATACCAAAAAAATTAGCCAGGCATGGTGGCGGGCACCTGCAGTCCCAGCTACTCGGGAGGCTGAGGCAGGAGAATGGTGTGAACCCAGGAGGTGGAGCTTGCAGTGAGCCGAGATCGCACCACTGCGCTCCAGCCTGGATGACAGAACAGGACTCCGCCTCAAAAACAAAAACAAAAAAAGATGCTATCTAAATAAATAAATAAGACAAACCACAAATTGGGAAAAATACTTGCAAATCACATATCTAACAACAACAAAAAAGAACCATATCCAGAATATATGCTTACTGGGAGAAAATTCTCATTGAAGATTTTCATATTTCTGCACAGTACAGGTTTCTTGAGCAGGGGCTCTATTTGAATAGAAAATGCCTTGGAAGCTAGAGATAGTGTATCCATCGTCTTCTCCTACACTGTACCCTCTAACACAGATTGTATGTGGAGAAAGACCTGTGATTCTCACTACACCACCCCAAGGGGGCTCAAGGAGCAGCACTAAGATGCTGCTCTGGCTGTTTTTGCCAAGAGCAATAAGTTGTTTGCTTTTCTGCTCCAGAAAGCCTCATTTCTCATATACAGATGTCATATAGATGTCATCTATATATATGTCATATATATAGATGACATCTATATCTATATATATGACATATATATAAATGACATATATATATGACATCTATATATGACATATATATATAGATGACATCTATATGTCTGTGTATGTTCACCCAAAAGCCAGTATGCTAATGTGCATAAGAGCTTTATATATATATATGACATATACATACATGACATCTATATATGAGACATGAGGCATCTATATATGAGACATCTATATATGAGACATATATATGATGTGTGTGTGTGTGTGTGTGTGTGTGTGTGTGTATATATGTGGCAGACTACATTGTTAGCTCACAATAGGATAAGGTCTCAGATCCTTCTCGGTTTCAGACTTAACAATAACTACTTTCAAAATGAAATGATAAGGAAACAAATGACCCGATTAAAAGTGGACCCAAACAGAGACTTTATCAAAGAATATATACTGGTGGCAAATAATCACAAACATATGTTCAACACCATTATTCATTAGGCAAATGTAAATTAAAACCACAACATACTACTACACATGTATTAGAATGGCTACAATTTTTAAAAAACAAACAAAAACATCTGATACTACCAAATGCTGTCAGGAATGTGGCACAACAAGAACTCTCACTCACTGCTGGTGATAATGCAAAATAGTATGGCAGTTTCTTATGAAGTTAAACATGCATGTATCATATGACCCAGCAATTCCACTCCTAGGTCTTTACCTAAGATAAATCAAACTGTATGTTCACCCAAAAGCCATATGCTAATGTGCATAAGAGCTTTATATATATGGGTGTGCCTATATATATATATCACAGATATATATAACATATATCTGTATCTAACATATATATTACAGATACATATCACATATATATATTACAGATATATATATTACAGATATATATATATATATATTACAGATATATATATATGTATCTGGGAGTGTGTGTGTGTGTGTGTGTGTGTGTGTAACCATCTGGAAACTGAAAATAACATAAACGTCTTTCAATAAGGGAATAGATAAACAAATGATGAAACAAAGATACAATTGAATATCACTGAGCAAAAATATGAAGACATATTAATAAATGAAAGGATGATTCTCAAATACATTATGCTAAGTGAAAGAATTCAGACTCAAGAGTGTTCATTTTCATTCATATGACATTCTGAAAAAGCCAAAATTATAGGAACAGGTAACAAAATTATAGCGACACAGTTGCCAGAGATTGAAAAAAGAGAGGAATTAACTATAAATGGGTAACACAAAAGAAATTTTGGGATAAGGAAATTGTTCTGTATCTAATCGTGGTGGTAGTTACTCTATGCATTTGTCAAAACTCAGAAAACTGCACCTCAAAAAGGGAATTTTACTGTATGTAAATTTTAAATTTTTTCTTTTAAATCTGTGCAAAGAAAATAATCTAACTAGGCATTATCTTGGGATAAATCAGGGCTTATTCTATTATATTTTAATACCTTTTGCAATTTCATGTGTAGGCTTTTCTGTCTCATAGGCAATGGATTATTATGTTGGCTTATCTTTCTAAGCTCTGAAAAACTATCATCTTTTCTCTCTTTGCTTTATATTTTTCTTGTATGTTCATTGGCTGTGGTTATATATGCCTGTCTTCCATATCAATAAGTCAATTTTCAGTTATATTTGTTCTATATGCTTGTCAATTTTACTTAGTCATTTTGAGATTGTATTATCTTAGTCTTCAATATTTTTTGTTCAAGTTTCTCACTCTCTTTGTTCATCTCTTTTTCTTGTTGTGTTCTTTTTGGTGAGTGACGGGGCTCCAGTTTAACTCATGTTCATGTTTTTTTTGTGGTTGTTGTTGTTTTTTTTTTGTTTGTTCGTTTTTTGAGACTCTCGCTCTGTCACCAGGCTGGAGTGCAGGAGTGCAATCTCGGCTCACTGCAACCTCTACCTCCCAGGTTCAAGCGATCCTCCTGCCTCAGCCTCCGAAGTAGCTGGGACTACAGGCATGTGCCACCATGCCCAGCTAATTTGTTGTATTTTTAGTAGAGATGGGGTTTCACCATGTTGGCGCAGATGGTCTCAATCTCTTGACCTCATGATCTGCCCACCTCAGCCTCCCAAAGTGCTGGGATTACAGGCATGAGCCACTGTGCCCAGCCATGTTCATGTATTTTTTAGCATAAAGTATCGAAAATTTTCTTCCGTCTTAGGTTACATTTTCTTACAGATTCCATGCTATGTTCCATCAATTTGTTCCTGCCCACCTACCTACTGGCTCGAATTGCGATTATAGTTTCCATTCTGTTCCTTTTCGTCTTGCCAATGCTGTCCAGATTTTCACTTTCATGACATTATGCAGGTCAGTTTCTGTGAGTCTCTCTTTCTACTTATTTGCATATGAGACTTATTTGTTTTCCCCTACCAGCTACATTTTGAAGGCTGAACATTTCTTGAAGATTCCCCACGTTGAAGTGCTCAGTTTACTGTCAATTCATTCATGGCTGGCATACCTTGGCTCTGCTCCCTTTTTGAGAATTTGTTTAATTTGCTGTGCAGGATTCACTCTGCTTAGTATTGAGATTTAGCTCATTCCCAGAGAGGGAAGAGTGAGTTAAGTTTTAACACTATTCCTGTTAGCCCTGGAGAACCTGATGCATTGACAGAGAATTAGCCTCTGGTTCCTGTTTCCCACTTCACTGGTCCTTTCCCAGCAGCTAGTTCAGGTCAGCTTGGGATATCACTGATTTCACTTCACTTCAGATTTGGGAATATCGGTGAGAATTCTCAGACTTTAGTGAACTTGAGCAATCGGGCCAGGAATAGGATTGATGCCTCAACCTTGTCTCTGTTTCCCTGATCAGCAATTGTTGAAATGTATAGCATTGTTTTCTGCCCCTCCCCAGCCTTCTTGATTTAGCTGATGCTAGTGATACTCATGTGGACTTTTAGCTTTCCTGCATTTATTTTATTAGTGATTAGGTGAACAGAATATTGCAGTCAAGCTCCCCAACACCATCTTTACAAATAAAATGCTTCTCTCATTTTTTTTTTTTGGCTTAAGCAAGATAGAAAGCTTATTTTTCTCCCATGTAAAAGTACAGAAACATGAAGTCCAGGGCTGCTAGGTTAGTTCGCATTTTTCTATTAAAAACCTCACAAGCTCAGTCTCCTTACAGAAACAGCTTGGGCATCCTTAAGGTGTAGCTATAGCCTTTATCTTCAGGTTCCCAAAAGCATCCAAATTTCACACAGTAGGATGTGAGAAAGCTTCCAGGAAAAGGAGCCAAGGGAAAGCTCCAGGTTTTTCATTTAAAAAAAATTGTATAAATTTATGGGGCACAAGTCCAGTTATGCCACATGAATATATTGCATAGGGGTCAAGTCAGGGCTTTTAGTGTAACTATCCCCCAAATAATGTGCATTGTAACCATTAAGTAATTTCACAGCCCTCAACTCCCTCTCACCCTTCTGAGTCTCCAGTGTCTATTATTCCATACTGTATGTCCATTTCTACACATTATTTAGGTCCACTTATATGTGAGAACATGCAGTATTTGACTTTCTGTTTCTGAGTTGTTTCACTTAAGATAATGACCTCTAGTCCCATCTATTAATATGTTGCTGCAAGAAACATGATTTCACCCTGTTTTAATGGCTGAATATATACATACACCATGAAATGTGATATATATATCTCGCCATGAAATGTGACAGATATATATACACACATCACATTTTCTTTATCCAACCATCCATTGATGGACACTTAGATTGATTCTGTACTTTTCCTTTTCCTATTGTGATAAACATACAAATGCAGGTTTCTTTTTGATATAGCAATTTCTTTTCCTTTGGGTAGATACCCAGCAGGGGAACTGCTAGATCAAAAGGTAGATCTATTTCTAGTTCTCTGAGAAATCGTCATACTTTTTACCATAGAGATTGTGCTAATTTACATTTCCAGCAACAGTGCACAAGTGTTCCTATTTTGCGCATGCTCATCGGCATCTGTTATATTTTGACTTTTTAATAATAGTCATTCTGATGCTGTAAGACAGTGTCTCATGATGGTTTTAATTTGCATTTCTCTGATGATTAGTGACTGCAATTCAATATAAGGCCATCACAAACATACAAATCTCATAAAAAGATAATATACTTCTAATTTCATGCTTTTATTATGTAGACATATTTAAATTACACCTCTTTAATATCCATTAATGGCTCTCAAAGTCTCTTTCAATATGAACCAAAAGCACCTAGTAAAAGGTTTCATTGTCAATAAATGTGAGTATAATAATACCTTACATTTGTGTCGTAATTTACATGGAGTTTACAAAGCAGAAGGTTAATGTCTCTTTGTTAACTATGAAGAGGCTTTACATTTTAAGTAATATTTGGCGTTTTGGACATTTCAAAGGCATTAAAGCAATTTCCACACACTCAGTGTCTCAAACCAAGGACAGTTGACAAGACAAGTTAGGGTATGTCAGTGGTGGCTGCCAAAAATATTGGTTCTCCACTCCCAAATTATCTCCCCTGACAGGTTCTCCCACCTGGACACTGTCATGGAAGGCTTATATTTAATCATCTAGATATGTATTAAAATGTTCTATTGAAATATAAAGCCTAAAGCTTAGAGAGAAGATTCTCCAGTGAAGAGGTGGCCTACATGATTAGAAATTCATGTTTTATGGATTCTAACACATGCATTATTTGATACAAGAAGTGGGTTGTTGTGAGACACCCCACCTGGCATATGAGCAATGAGTGTAATTCAAGTGAGAATCAAGTGCGTATGGATGCTGCTTTCATATCTATTTCCTCAATGTCAGAAGTCTTTCATAATGCCCCAGTAATTACATATATATGGTTAATTAAACTGGAATAAGCTCAAAATTATTAATTACTGCCAACTTTAACTACAATTTCTCATAACCCAAGTTAAAGAGATTGGCACCTGAGGTGCAAGATTCACAATGGTAGAAGGGTACAAAATGTTTGCGTACATGAGTCTACACCTTCATGTGTATTAGCCAGATAAATGGTATGTTTAGTTCAAGTTATCAGATGCTATATACCAAGTTGCTGTGGGATCTACATTTGACTTATGAGGAACACATTGTATCAGACAGCCTAGTAAGTTAATTGTTTAGGCATTGTGTCCTTATCTGAATAATGAGGATGATAACAGTAAATATCTCAGAGTGCATGAATGAAATGATATAGGTAAAGCATGCTGCCTGGTGTGCATGGAAGGCTACTAATAAATCTTAGACCTTGACAAGAAGAGTAATGAGTCTAAGGCTTTATCTCACTTGCAAGCTAACAGGTGACCCTGCCACAGTTTCATGAATGCTGGCAGAAGACCCAAGACTTCTGGGCCTTCATTGCACATGGAAAGAAAAAAGACAAGTAATATGCACTTCATGTTTGCACCAGTTTCCCTCACCCCTTTATGTTCCATGGCAGCAACAGCACCAAGCAGTCCAGGCAGATGCTGCCCAATTTAGTAGTTTGTGTCAAAGCTGAGGAATTCCAATCTTCAAGAACCTGGATCTTTTACACTGGGCTGCAAGAAAATGCCCTGACTTTTTCCCCAAATGGAAACCTTGTCTTTAATATACTGGAAGAAAGACATAGTATCTCCTTCTCCAAGGTTATTTGCTCTACAAATGTCCTTCAACATATAATCCAAACAAATTTCATAGTGCTTCTCCTGCTATAGAAACAGAAATACAAGAGACCCATGTAGAATGATCTCCCAACAGACCTAATTAAGATATGCTTCTTTGTGGAAATAAATTTAGGGAATCCTCTCCAAGGCACATGAATGAAATTACATGACAGATGACTGAAGATTGGGAATCTTGGGTAGGGGGTGGGTGGGTATCATTTTATACTAGGATGAAAATGGTGCTTGAAAGTTGAGGAATGTGCATGTGCATGTGTGTGTGCGTGTGTGTGTGTGGGTTCAGTTGAGGGTGGGGATAATGGATTTTTAACATATATTGACAGGCTATTAGGCAACAAGCCACGCATTAGACAACATGGCATAGCAGTTAACAGCCAAATGCTTTGAAGTCAGGCAGAACTAATTTGCATCAGGTTTCTGCCACTTACAAGCTGTGCAACATAAGCCAAGATACTTGTTGACCCTGAGATGCCATGTCTTTAAGTGAACAATAGAAATCATAATAAAGGCACCTTCATAGTCTTCAACTTCATAGTAAAAGTTGATTGAGATCATGCACTTATAGCATTAGTAACAGCCTGGCACGGAATAAGTGCCAAAAAAATGTTAACTATAGTAATAATATTTTTTCTTCACTAAATTGTCCAATCATCCTAATTATTGTCATGTTTCAACCTTGAAAACTGTATACCCTTTCACACCATTTCTCCAAGTAAGATATATTGATGACTAATAGGTGCATGAGGGGACACTCAACATAATTGACTACTGGGAAAGTGCAAATCCAACTTACTGTTTCACATCCATTAAGATGGTTATTATTTAAAATAAAAACACAAAATCACAAGTGTCGGTGAGAACGTGGAGAAATTAGAACACCTATGCATTGTTGGCAGGAATGGCGCAGCTGCTGTGGAAACAGCATGGTAGTTCCTCAAAAACACTAAAAATAGAATTACCATATGACTCAGCAATTCAATTTTTTGGCATATACACACAAAATTGAAATCAGAGACTCGAATATCTGTTTGTACAGCTGGTCTTGGGAGCATTATTCACAACAGCCAAGGGACAGAGGCAACCAAATCAACTATTTAGCAGATGAACAGATAAAGTGTGGTATATGCATGCAATGGAATCCAATTCAGCCTTAAAAAGGAAGGAAATCTTGAAAAATGCTAGAACATGAATGGACCTTGAAACCATGCTTAGTGAAATACACCAGACACTGAAGGACAAATATATGATTACACTTACATGAGCTACCTAAAACAGGCAAATTCATAGAGACAGAAAGTACAATAGAGGTTACCATGGCTGCAGGTGGCATGAGGAGGAGGAGAAGGAGAAGTTATTCTTTCATGGTTACAAAGTTGTTTTTGGAGATGATAGGAAAATCGGGGACATAGACAGTGATAATAGTTACGCGACATTGTGAATGTATCTAAGACTACCGATCAATGGATAAGCCACATGTTTGAATGGTTGCACTGAAAAATATTATGTATATCTTATCACAATTTTTAAAAGGTTACAATGAAATGGAAGAAAGAGAAAAAAATAAAATTTTGCCTCAGGAGAAATTAAAAAAAAAACAAACTAGTCTTAGGTTACACTGCTGGAAGTGTGAAATCTCAGATTTTACTCAGATCTGACTCTAAAACGTTTTTGTCTTAAATGCTTCACACTGCACCGTTATGCTCCTGTGTAACAAGGCTGAGGCAGGAGTCTTTGCAACCAAACATGAAGCACTACCTTTTTCTGCCTTTTCTAACACAACACATAATGTAAGTGTACAAACAAAATTCATGAATACTTAAGCCCTTAGATACACTCTAGGATGTTTTTAGTCCCAAACCAAACGTTATTTCTGCCATGTTATCGGATTCCCATTTCAGATATAGAGTTCAAATGGTAATAAGTCTTGTTTTGCCCCCATTAACATTATTGGATACTCAGCTGAGTTCTGGTTTATGTTGTAATGTGCTCCTGACATGGTTTCAACCCCATTTAGGCAATCCACTCGTCCCTTCTTTATTCAAATATGGCAGCATCATGCTGTAAATACTTTCCTAGCACAATGGATTCTAATCCCAACGGAAATGACTGGTGCTTCATTAAAAAACAATGGAATCACCTGCTTTTTATTTTCAGTTGTTGGCATATATGTTTTCCTCATACTTTGTTGCTTTTCTCAAATTTAGTAAAATTTTAAAAATTTATTCTTAATCAACATATGTTCATCTCAACCAATTAAATAAAGTGTAGCACATAGTAGGATAGAGATCATTATATTATTGTCCTCACAGGAGAACTTTCTGATAGCTATAAACAATAAAACAGTGTACTCTAATTCAAGATATTTTCTCCAACAGTCACTAACCCAGTCCTATTGAAACTATGTATTCATTTCATACCTCACACAGGCTATTAGTATTCTCAATAAAAAATATAGTAGTCTTGGAAACCACAGCAAATTAAATGGAGAGAACTGTACATTAATAGCAATCTGCATGGTAACGTGCGTCTGTAGTCTGCAGATGCCTGTTACAGGACTGTACTTCACTACAGTATGTAATGTCAAAAAGAGAAACCCACTTATATATTATGTATTCAGAGTCAGAAAGCTTTAAAGTCAGAAGGGAAATGTGACTCTGTCAATTTCAACCCCACCATGCCATGGAAGAGGGCAAAGAGCTGGGGCAGGGAACTGACTTGCCTATGATCACAGAACTGAGGAGGGACCTCACTGGGGCAGGAGCCTAGAAGGCTAGACCAATTTCATAAGTGTAATGCTTATGTTGGCTAAGACCATAAAATGCCCACATGCCTTCCTATTGTGGAGAAAATTCTCTTAAAAGAAAGATTGAAATGTTTAAATCTACACATCTTCAACTTTGCATAATATCTTTTTACAAAGTCTGAATCAATAAGGTATGGAATCAGTTTGCAGCTTGATCATCTCAAAGAGAATTAGATACTAAAAACAAACAAACCAAAAACTTAACAAATATTCAACTCGTTTATTAGAGAACTAAAAGAGGTCACTGGATTGAGAGTTGCCATGACAACTGTCAGGCAAGAATGAACAGAGGTTTGCTCCTAGCTATCTCATTGTCTAAGAGCTGGGAATTAGGCTCACCACTCCACCCCCTGGCTGCTTTCTCCTCTCTGGCTCTCACTTCCTTCCCTGACAGCCCAGATTCTTCCATATCCATCTCCATATCATGCAAAGAAATAACCTCTGTTAGGCAGAACACAAGGGAAGCACAGATTGCCTCATACCAGCAGTTATAATCAATAAGAACGCTCAAGTGAAACAAGCTGCCACTGCATTGTGAAGCTTAAAGCAGAAAAAAAGTAAAGCTCTAATACAAAATGTAAGAAAGGCCACTATTTTAACAAAAATTGTGTCTTTTTAAATGCTAATTTGCTACTTATAAATTAGCATTTCAATAACAAAATGCAGTAATATGGCAATCTTTTACTAGCATTAACTTATTTGCCCATTGCTCACTAAAATTCCTAAAACTAACTGTAGACTTGTACCTGGATTTGAAATAAGTCCCTGAAAATAAAGATCCAGCATCCCAAACCTGAATCATATAATTTTCATCATTTGACATTTCATTTTCATACTTTGTTGATTCTTTACAAAAAAAAAAATCTTCTCTGCTGGTTTTTAAGTTGAGCACCCACTAGGGAGGGATGATAATTTTCTCTGACTCTGGCTGATTATGGCAAAGGTACAACGATGTGAAGGGCATATTACAAAACAAAATGCTGACACTGATTTTGACCCACTTCAAGTCAAAACGTAAATTTTGTTTATGACTAAAATTGAAATAAGCCTGTCAGGGTAGCATATATAGAAATTGAATAACTGTATTGGGGAAAAGTCGAGTACAGCCAGTCACAGCTCCCTACTTCCTGTCTTCAATGTCTATTAAATACCGAGCTGAGGGAGATAAAGTTTTAAAACTTTGTATAGTCATATACAAAGGAAATTTATTCTTCCCCGGTCTGATTCTCATCTTCTCTGCTTAGTGTCACAGCCTGTGCATTCAAAATCAAAGGAACCCTTTGCACATGAAAAGAAATGCCAAATTACTTACATAAACAGAGCATTCAAGTTATGCATGAAAGGCTTTCAATTCTCACAACATAGACAAATGTATCTCTACAAATCTGGACACCATTTAGAAAAACAGGAGATACTGCATTTATATCAATAGTTTGCCGTTGGGCTGTAGACACATTAATTTGTCCAACTATGAACATATGAATAAACTACAATTGTACTCTTGTACCAAAGAGAAACAGGATCAACTCAAGTTGGGTATTGAGTAGTACTCTTAGTGAAAAGTGAGAGAAATCACAGTCCAAGTAGGCTTAAGTTAAATAAAAAAAGAAATGAAAGAAGCTTTGAAGGCAGGAAATTAAGAAGGAAGAAAGGAAGGAGAAAAGAAAAAGATGTAAAAGAAAAAGAAATCAATTGACCCATATAACTTGAGAAGTAGGAAAGTAGGGAATCGTCTTTCTCTACATCCTACAGGGAAGTAGAATGCACCATGTAATCATCATGAATCAGTTTCTCTCCTTCACTTTACTCTGTTTCATCCCAGGCATTGGGGAAGAGCAAGTTGAGGACAGGCTCTCCAGACCCTACCTACTCTGAGGTTTCGGATCCAGCCGGGAAATGTGAACATCTTTTTCTCAGATACCTCAAGAAAAAAATCTCATTGTTTTTAATTGGATACTGTAACTAGTTCTGAACCAATCAACATGGCCAGGGAACTAGGATGTGCTAATAGGCTGAGACCTGGAGTGGACAAAAACATTTGAGAGTGGCTAGGATTACACATGACCTTTGAGAGGTGAGGACAAGTCAGGGTTTAGAAAGAAGCTGTCCTAATGCTAAGGATTACATATTTCATATGGATTGTATTTCATAATTTCCCTGGTGAATGTTAAATCATTCTTTAAAATTCAGCTGTAATGTTTTGTACTATGTGCACTGCAGAATACTACAGACAATGGGCAGTGCAATGATAAATATGATACCATTGATGTTGTATGGATCTGGCAAAGTGGGGCAACAAATTAAACACACATGGTGCTGAGTCCACCTGTACTGTTGGGTGGACTGTAACTATAAAATAGAGTTTACAAACAACTTGAGAGGCCGGGAGAGGGTGGAGTGTATACGGCATGTATTAGTATTTACTGTGTTCATCCCTCTGAACAGTTAGTTCAGAGATTAGAGAAGATGATAAATCAGCAGATACTGGTGTGGTCAGGAAAAGCTTCACAAAAGAGGCGGGCTTTGCAGGGCAGGCAGATAGCTAACCTGAATGAAGGGATGTGACTAAGAACAAAGCCAAAACAGTGTCTCTGAGAACCATTTTTAAAACTCTGACTTAGGTCTTATGTCCATAAAGTCTTAATACAATTGTCAAAAGGATTCATTACTTTCTCATAAAACCACCAGCCTGTCCTCCTTCTGCCTTAAAGATTAAGTCTATCAGAACTGCTTTTTACCAAGCCATGATGATTATTGCCTGAGTTACCTTTTTGCTTTAATGGGTCTTCTGTGCTCAGCTGAGGATAAGGCATATTTATCTTGTAAAGTTCACCCTCTCTTATAGACAGAGGACTCAAATTGATAGCCCTGCCTTTCTGGTTATATATACAGCTGTTCACCTGTGCTAAGCCTTACCCATCCTTCCAGATTGTCCAGCCTTCCCTTACTATTGTCAGAGTCAACATTGATACAGCATTTGAGATAGACGAGATTGGAAGGCAATGATAACACCAAATATTTCTACCTAAATTTACCAGACATTCAGATGGACTAATGATTTGACAGTGTTGGTGATGGGCGTGCTACTTCCAAATATCTCACCCTAATTTCATAAAATGATGGCAGGATCTGGCTGTATTTTTTCCTGCCCAAGATCCAATGCATAATTCACAGAACCAGGAAGCCACAGCAAACAGCAGAAATGTATTGCGTCCACACTGTTTCCTCTCTATCTTTAGAACCACCTTGATGATGGTTATTTCAATTGTGTTAATCAGGGATTATACTGGTTCAAGACCCAGATCAATATGAAGTACATCTGATTTCAATACTACTGAAAACCAGGTTGGACTGAAAGAGATGAGAGAAAATAAAAATCAATATTTGTTTTCCTGGCTTTGCATGAGCTTTGGCAGAGGAGAGGAGTACAGTCTTTAAAAAAAAAAATTGAACTGCAATCTGATTTCCATCACTTCAAATAGTGAATAAAGTAAGATCTGATATTTAGAAACTTGATAATTTCTTCTCCTTCCAGCTAGAATCCTTGAAGTTTTCTGTAAAATATGGATAACTTACTTTAAAACTCTCGTAGAGGAAGTTCAAAAAGAAAAGCTCAAAATACCTAGAGATGAACTCATTGTAGATATTCTTTCTCCTGAGACTCCAATTCTATTACTGTCACACTAGTTGACAGTATAACCAACTTACTGTAAAATTGCTTCAGGTTAGATTTTTTTTTGTGATTCCATATCAGTTACCCAAATCTTATTGGTTTCAGTGCTCATTTGTAAATGGAAACTAACTTGTAGTGCCATTGTGCTGTGGTTTGAACGTGTCCTTTTAAAAGGTCATTTGTTGAATATTTAATCCCCAGTGCAACAGTGCTAAGAGGTGGGACCCCTAAGAGGTAAATGGGATGGTCAGGAGCGGTGGCTCATGCCTGTAAGCCCAGTATTTTGGGAGGCTTAGGCGGGCAGATCACCTGAGGTCAGAGTTCGAGACTAGCCTGGCCAACATGGTGAAACCCAGCCTCTACTAAAAATACAAAAAAATTAGCCGGGCCTGATGGCAGGCACCTGTAATCCTGGTTACTTGGGAGGCTGAGGTAGGAGAATTGCTTGAACCCAGAAGGCGAAGGTTGCAGTGAGCCAAGACTGCACCATTGCACTCCAGCCTGGGCAACAAGAATGAAACTCCATCTCAAAAAGAAAAAAAAAAGAGGTGAATGGGTTAATGTCTTGACCATGGGAGTAGGCTGGTTTTCAAAGAAGGGGGTTCCTAATAAAAGTGTGAGTCTGTCCCCCTTTTCTTCTCTCTCTCATGCATGGTTGCTTGCCCTCTGTCCTTCCACCATGGGGTGATGCCCTCACACGAAGGCCCTCACCAGATGTGAGCCCCTTGACCTTGGATTTCTCAGCCCCCAGAACAATATAAATAAATCTGTTCTTTATGAATTACTCAGTCTCAGAAATTCTATTATAGCAACACAAAAGAGACCACAACACCCTGCTTATCCTATATGGTCAGCTGAATCTCCCCATGGCATTCAGGTCAACTGACATATTCCAGATTTAGAGTATTATGGTCTCCTCCATTGTTCCTCACGTGGACAGATGATGCGTCCTGGTAAAGCATGTATTTTCCAAAAGGAAGTTGGAGATTTGCCCTATGAAATCTTGAAGTACCATTCTCTCAGGAGGATGTAGAGAGGAGGACAAAGGAACAACGTTCAGAGCTGAGAGTTTTGGCCACTAGAGGCCCCTTTGTAATAGCGAGTGCTTTGGTTCTCTTCCATTGACGATGGTAGCAGCCACACTTAACAATTCAACTTAAATATTTGTTCCTGAGGCAATCATTTTCTGAGGGGACTAGTTGCCCAACATAGCTAGATATGTCTTTCAGCCTGTGTGCGAGGACTACTCCATACGCACACTTTCAGGGAGCTTCATGCAGTGGTAACATCATTGATTGTGTAGAGAAGAACTGCTACCTGAAGCACTGGGCAGGGACCCCACTCATCTATGTGAGTGGAGGCACTCAGTGGAGCTGACAATCTTGCAGAGATACAACCATATCCTGGAACTAACTCAGAGTTGAAATGAGAAAAAGAGAAATAATCTTGAACGTGTGGGCTCACACTGGGGGTGATTTGACAGTGACAGCTAAGAGCTACACCAACCCAGTATTTCAAAATGTTCACAGAAAAATAGGAAATTATAATGACAAGAATACATGCTTCTACTTCTTGACTACGGCATGTCACACCAAGGAAATAGTGCAACAGAAGCATGAAGGATAAAGACAGAAACCTGATTCATGTAGAGTTCTCTATGATGGCAAAAAAAAAAAAAAATCTCATATATGTCCCAAATTTGGAGACTAGCTAAATTACAGTCTCAAAGTACCCAAGATTATTAAAAAGCAATTGAAAGTAGGATTATATTGTTAACAGAAGCAAATTTTTTGATGACATTCTGAAGTCAAAAGAGTACAATACAAGATAGTATAAATTTTAGGACTCTAATGAATATACTGAAAAGTAATATGCAAAAATGAAAACTGTATGAGATTCTTTTTAAATATTGAATGTGCCCTTACTAGTATTATAAATGTGTCTTTTTTGTTTTTGAGACTGAGTCTGGCTCTGTCACCCTGGATGGAGTGCAGTGGCGCAATCTCGGCTCACTGCAACCTCTGCCTCCCAGGTTCAAGCAATTCTCCTGCCTCAGCCTCCTGAGTAGCTGGGACTACAGGCACACGCCACCACACCCAGCTAATTTTTGTATTTTTAGTAGAGATGGGATTTCGCCATGTTGGCCAGGCTGGTCTCGAACTCCCAACCTCAGATAATCCGCCCGCCTCAGCCTCCCGAAGTGCTGTGATTACAGGAGTGAGCCACCACACCCAGCCATAAATGTGTCATTTTAAATTAACAAATGGTCCAGGCACAGTGGCTGAGGCCTGTAATCCCAGCACTTTGGGAGGCCAAGGCAGGTGGATCACCTGAGGTCGGGAGTTTGAGACCAGCCTGACCAACACAGCGAAACCCCATCTCTATTAAAAATGCAAAAAACAAAAAAAACAAAAAAAAACATTAGCCGGGCATGGTGGCGCATGCCTGTAATCCCAGCTACTCGGGAGGCTGAGGGAGGAGAATCACTCGAACCTAGGAGGTGGAGGTTGTGGTGGGCCGAGATCGCACCATTGGACTCCAGCCTGGACAAGAGCGAAACTCTGTCTCAAAAAAAAAAAAAAAAAAATTAACAAATGGTGTAAAGGAGAGGTTGTAAGAGAGAAAACAAGTTTGCTAAAGATAATATTCCTCAAAGAGACACTAAAATTATCTCTACCCAGTACCTAGACAAATGGAAGCCTTCAGTTCACAGGAGGAAAGGCTAATCTGTATCCCCAGGTATGAGCCATCTGTAATTCAAGGAATGCTGTAAGCTCATGTAGTTGCACCACTCAGGCTGGAGACAAACAAATACATCTTCCTTAAATTACTTCTGAGACTCCTCCCTATAATGTACATGATACTTAATATTATAGCAATTATGTATATTACTTATAAAAATATAAATATATTTATATCATAAATAAACACTCAAAACATTGTATCAATAGGTATATATGGGACAGAGCCAAACACTCTTCAAAGACTGGTGTCCAGGAATGGATACAGTGCTACTGTACATCATCAAAAATAGCCTTAAGTCATGTGTGTGAGTGGTATTTAAGAGTTTCATAATCAGCCAGGTATGGTGGCTCACACTCGTAATCCCAGTACTTTGGGAGGCTATGGAGGGAGGATCGCTTGAGTCCAGGAATTTGAGAGACAGTGTGAGCTATGATTGTACCACTGCACCCTAGCCTGGTGACAAAGCAAGACCCCGTCTGAAAAAAAAAAAGAATGTCATAATCAATAAAGTAATCAATAAAGTGGTCATGTTCAGACTAATAAAATTTTTAAATACATTCATGATAGTTTTAATTTTCTTTCTTTGCAATAAAAAGAGAAATGCACAAAAGAACAGAATAATATATTTGAAGGGTCAATTGGAGACCCAGGGCCTCCAACCAGAAGGGATCTTTGGAGGTTTTCCATTCAGGTGTCATTCCTTTGGGATTCTTTCAACTGCAGAAGAGCAATGAATTGTTCAAAAATCAGTGTTTGAAAGATTTTTACAGAAGTGACCACACCTTCCCTCATTCTGCATCTCTATTTTTTGTCAGGCTCATGTTTCCTATACATGGATACAGCCCCAAATCTGCAGTCTTTATTTTTTCCCTGATCTCTATCCACAGAGTCATATTCTACCTTTCTGCCAGCCCCACAGACAACCCTGTTATGAACCGCAAATTTCCAAGACCCACCTCCTTTCCCAGGCTCTATCTAGCATAAGACGATAACCTTAACACTTCCTTGACTCACTAGCTGGCAATTGACTACACCTCAGTGGACTTTAATTTTCTCAATTGAAAATAATGGGTTTGAACTAGAAGTCCTTTATCATTTTAAATATTAGAGATTACGGTGCAATAGATACACAGGGCTCATTATTTTAGTGAGAAGCTATGCTCAAACATTTTTAAAGCTTGAGATGTTTCAGATCCCTTAATTTTGCAACAGAGTAATCCAGACTAGTGAGTGGGACATTTTTCTTACAACAACAAAGAGGAAAGCAAATCAAGCAGTACACATAAGCAGTTAGGCCAATTTCTGTAAAGTATTTTAAATGGATGACACAACCTTAGGTTAAAATGAAACATGAAATATTTGCATTTAAAAAGATGTTTGACAGTTGTACCTTGGAAACCAAATCTAAATTGAATTTATTTATTTATTATCACTTATTTTTGGTTTTAGATATGGGCTCAAGCTATGTCGCCCAGGCTAGACTCAAAACGCCTGGACTCAAGCCATCCTCCTACCTCAGCCTCTCTAGCATTTGGGACTATAGGTGCATGGCACAGCACCTGGCTTGTTGCAGTTTTAAAAGCAAGCAAACTCAGCCAGTTCAAATCAGTAAAGCCATTCCTTATGTAAATAATGTGAATCATGTGGCACATGCACCCAGACCAAGACCATGCGGAGAAATGGCCCCACTGCCTTTCTCTGTGCCTCCAAATTACTTACATCATAAATACATAATTAACTGGTAGATTGTATAAAGCAGAGACTAAGTGCTAGAGACATTCTTAGAAAGAATATCATACGTGGAAACAATGTAATTAAAATCCCAAATCTGAGGCAATAGCTGCCCTACTTTTCAATTCAGATATAGAAGTACCTTACCTAGAAAGACTGTTAACCTAGGGCGACATCACTATAATCTATCATCTATCATTCTGGCATTTGCTACATGTTGAGTGAGGCCAGATTGCGGCAGTTAAAGAAACAAGGTAACTTTCACTCCCTATGATATTTCTGCATTTTTAGGGACCACAAGTGGAAAACATTCCCTGTAACTGGAAAAAAAAAAGGAGACAGAACATTTCTGTCTATGTAAAGTCCTCAAAGTTAGTTCTAAATGAAGAAAGCTATCTTTGTGTTCTTGTCTGCAACAGATAATTCCATCATGGGTGTCTCTCCATTCTTCTCTACTCTTGGAATGTCAGATCTTGGGAGGCTCCTAAAGCCTTGAGTTCATATTTACAGAAGCCCCATCTAGGTTTAAACCGTGGGATGTCAGATCATCAAATATTCATGTCTATATACCTTTACACACATTCCCCCACAAAAATGTTCATGCTATAGGTCATTGATAATGGATTCCTCACTCTCAGAACTCCAGAAAAACAAAACAAAACAAAAATAATATTGCAGTGACGATTACTTGGAGAGTTTAGCTGACAGTGAGGACCAGATCCCAGAACACTCAAAGCATCCTAATTCATAGAGACAGAAAGTAGAATACAGGTTACCAAGGCTGGGGATGTTGGGGAGGGAAGGAAGAAAGAAGAGGGACTTATTGTTTAATGGATAGAGATTTTGTTGATGATGAAAAAGTTTTGGGTATAGATAGTGGTGATGTTTGCACAGTATTGTGAATGTATCTAATGCCTCTCGTGAATGGTTAAACCATACTTTTGAATGGTTAAATGATAAATGTTATATATATTTTACCACATTTTTTTTAAAGGTTAAAACAAAAAAAAGAAAAAGAAAACTGTGGCTAAGCAAAAATCAGAAATTGGTCTTCCTCATGCACTGTATTAAATATGGTAGCTTCCTTTGAAACTTAGTTACTCACTTAGCTCAGAGCAAAACATTTGGCAAGAGATGGGACAGGGATCACCAGGCTGTAGGAGCATGTGGCAAGAGGGAAAAAGAGAAGTGAGGACCAGCTGCAGAAGGGTCTTGGCTCTGCCACATGGGAAGGTGGCAGAAGGAGGGTCTAAGATGCTGGGGTCATATATGGGGTCATATAATGCAATCTATCTATAATAATATAGATTCATACCCTCATTCCTTTCCGTCCCCCCAGCCAAATAAAAATCTTGACTTAGCAACATTAACTGAAGAGATAAAGGGCAAACTATGCACCAAGAACCCAGGGTTGTTGAAGGCAAGGCAAAACCCTTAAAATAACAATTAACCAATTAGTTCCCATCTCCCTAGGAGATGCAAACTCAAATGCTTATAGTATAAGGAGGTGTCATGAAGAGTCAAGTGTGTGTGAGCAGGATGTATGAGGATGGGGACTGGGATGGGAGCCACTGTGAATGCAGAACTCAGGCCCACGCAAAGTCCATGCCATTCTTCAACAGCCTCTGTGGATTGCCTTGCAGACCTCCCGGTACTGACTGTTCTTTTGTGATTTCTCCAAAGAAAAAGGCATGCAGATTTTTCTATGAAATTGTTAGATTTTTTGAAATTGAAACATAAAACACAGCTTGATTTCTTTATTTATAGCAGCTTGATTCATAACCAAATAAATCTTTATTCATAGTTCCCAAAACTTGGAAGCAACCAAGATGTCCTTCAGTCGGAATCCAGATATAGGATACCTATATCTGGTGGTACATCCAGGCAACAGAATATTATTCAGCATTCTATCAAGCCATGAAAAGATATGAAGGAAATTTAAATGCATATTGCTAAGTGAAAGAAGCCAATTTTAAAACTCTAGGTACTGTAGAAATCCAACTCTGACTTCCTAGAAAAGGCAAATGCATGGAGACAGTAAAAAGACCAGTGATTGCCAGGGGTTTGGGGGTGGAGAGGGATGAATAGACAGAGCACAGAGAATTTTTACGGCAATGAAACTATTCTGTATTGGTGGGTGCATGTCGTTACATATTTGTTAAAACCCACAGAATATACAAAATCTAGAGTGAACCCTAATGTCAACTATGGATTCTGGGTAATAATAATAACAAATGTATCCCTTTGGTGGAGGATATTGATAATGTGGAAGGTGGTGCATGTGTGGGGGCAGTAGGTATATGGGAAATCTCTGTACCTTCCTTTCAATTTTGCTGTGAACCTAAAACTGCTCTTAAATATAAAGTCTAGGCCAGGCACAGTGGCTCATGCCTGTAATCCCAGCACTTTGGGAGGCTGAGGCGGGTGGATCACCTGGAGTTCGAGACCAGCCTGGCCAACCTGGTGAAACTCCACCTCTACTAAAAATAGAAAAATTAGCTGGGCGTTGTGGCAGGCACCTGTAATCCCAGCTATTCGGGAGGCTGAGGCAGAAGAATCACTTGAACCCGGGAGGCGGAGGTTGCAGTGAGCCGAGATCGCGAAAGAGTGGAACTCCATCTCAAAAAAAAAAATAAAAAATAAAAATAAAGTCTATTATTCATAAAGAATTCATTAATTAATACAACACGTTTTATCAACACATATACACAAACACACATATACACACATCTGCAGTAAAAATTTGATGAGTGCACCACTGTTTGCAAAATCCAGGCAACTCAAGGAAGTCACCAACCAAAGCCTTTGCTATGTCCTTTCCCCAGGCAACCTAATCACCTGTTTGTGGCTACTACAGGAAATGCCTGGGATGTTCTGTGCAACTTAATTTCTGCAAAATACTTATGAGCCCCACACCATTAGACAGCATTTGTTTCGCATCATGAAATACTTCTATCGCAGTTTAAAAAATATTAGCACTTAAAGATGCATTATGCCTTCAGGAGAAATAATTGTTAAGGTTTTGGGAATAGACCATCACTTCTTTCTCATCTCCTGTGGCTTTAAATAAGGTGTATACCTGTAATCCCAGCACTTTGGGAGGCCAAGGCGGTCGGATCACGAGGTCATGAGATCGAGACCATCCTGGCTAACACGGTGAAACCCTGTCTCTACTAAAAACACAAAAAATTAGCCGGGTGTGGTGGCGGGTGCCTGTAGTCCCAGCTACTCGGGAGGCTGAGGCAGGAGAATGGCATGAACGCGGGAGGCGGAGCTTGCAGTGAGCCGAGATCGTGCCACTGCACTCCAGCCTGGGTGACAGAGCAAGATTCTGTCTCGAAAAATAACAATAATAATGATAATGTGTAGAGCACTCTCCACAAAGAGCAGTGAGTTAGCATTCACCTTCATCTCCTATTTTTCATTTTTCCTAGACAATCTTTCCTACTCTGAGGAAAACTGGAAAACCACCTATTAGGATGTAGATCATTGTCCTCCATGACCTAAAAGTGAAGCCAATAGGTAATACACATACCACACTTACATAACAAGAGTAGGTAAATAGAATAATTAAAAAAAATTTTTTTTTAATTTTCAACTTTTTTTTTGTATTTAGAGAGACAGAGACAGAGAGAAAGAAACAGTGTATGGATCAGCTGCCATTTAGCATATTGGCCACCATGCCTTGTCCCAAGGGCCCAACTGGAGATTGCTTGCGTCTCTCAAAGACAAAGTAAGAGAAATAATTGAGAGAAAAGCCGCCTAAAGAAACTGAAATTGCTCCATGCCTCTTAGCTGTATACCTGCTATGCCTGGAGGCCGCTAGATACCAAACATATTAGAACTTAAGTTTGGCCTTGAATAATTCCTTGCACTAGGTTATTTCTGATATAATTTCATTCTAAATACATAGTCTCAATAAACAAAATCATGAAAAATTAATTACACCATCTAATGTAAAAGTTATGTTGGCAACACAGCCCATTATCCATCATCTAATGCTCCCTATAGAAAGACGTGTATGAGATTTCTTTAAACTTCAAGATGTTTGCTTGCCCTTAGGAATTGGTCAAATCCTTCTTTTAATCATTGAGATCATTTCCTCTCCCATTCCTGTGCCAACCCCTACTTCTTCCAGAAAGTATAAGCCAAGAGCAAAGCTCTAACAGAAGTTATAGTTACAAGAGATGGAAGCATGTTTATTTTTTTACCCCAAGGGATATGAAATTAGTGGTTACCTAAAATATCTAGAACTATACCTTGCATGAAATGATTTTAATATTTGTTAAACTGAGTGGAATTTATGACTTTTCCAGGAATTACAAAATAAGCACTTAGGAATGAAAGCACCACCATTTAAAATGAATTTAATTAAGGGTAATTAATAACTTAATTCAAAGATATAATGACATTGAGATGGATTAAGTGTCAAAGAGTGCTGATGATTTGTTTTTCCTGAATCTCAAAAAACTAATGTGCAATGAGCACTATTTTCTATACAGCAAATAAATGTAGACATTAATATTATTACAGAAGTGAAAAATGGCTGATGTGTGTTCATGCTGGCTCTAAAATCATATTTTGACTTATTAAATGGAAATTTCTCTAGTTTTCCATTATAAATGGCTGTGTTATTTGCTATCATTTTGCCAAAATTTTATTCTAGGGTTGCAGTCTCATAAGAATCATAGAAGCATAGATCAAAAAACAATGGGGATTTATCTACCCAGTAAGTCCAGTATCAACATGCCTTTTTACAGATGAAGCAATCAAGGACACATAGGCCAGTCATCCTGGAGGCAACTCAATGCAGGTATACTGGTTAATTTGCCTTGCTATAGAGGAATACCTGAGACTGGATAATTTATTAAGAAAAGAGGTTTGCTTGACTGACGGTTCTGCAGGCTATATGAGAAGCACAGTGTCAGCGTCTGCTTCTCATGAGAGCCTCAGGAAGTTTCCACTTATGGCAGAAGGTAAAGGGGGAGCTGGCATGTCACATGGGAACAGAGGGAGCAAGAGAGAGAGAAGAGGAGGTGCCAGACACCTTTAAACAAGGAGCTCTCCTGTGAACTGCCAGAGCTAGAACTCACTCATACCATGGGTATGGCACCAAGCCATTCATGGGGAATCCACCCACCCCCCTGATACAAACACCTCCCATTAGGCCCACCTCCAACATTGGGGAAACATTTCAACATGAGATTTGACGGAAACAAGCAACCAAACTATATCAACAGGTTTATTCCTGAGTCATCCTACAAATGCTCTTTCTGTTGCTCCACAAAGTAATCATCCAAGGAGAAATCAAATGGATAATGAGCACCAAAATAATCATAGTGAAATGTACTTGGTAAAGGTAGATATAATCAGAGCTGGACGACTGAGGACAAGATCTTTCTCTGTCTTACTTATATTCACAATGAGGGCGTGCAACTACAGTTACGCGGGACACAGTTTATGTTTGAGCATCAACCCTGACACATTTTACTTAAGACCTGCACTGTGAAGACTTAGCAAAGAAGTGAAGGAGGGCTCTGACTGATTATCGATGTCTGTCATGTATTGCTGCCCTAACTAGAAGATGTCTTCCATATCCAGTACTCCATTGGCCAAGAAACATACACTTTTGACACAGCTTTAACAGGATGCAATGTGATATGGACCCCTATCGTTTCACTTAGAATTCCCCTTCCTCCCTCAGTCTTTTTACTCATTTCCTAGTCTTCTTTAAATGATCGTTTTTTTTTTTAACTATGTTTACTTTTTTTCCTCCCATTCCATTATGATTTTCAGAAATTTCATTCTCCCTCCATAATTCCAATGAAAAACCACTTAATTCTACTCTCTGTTCAAGCCTGGGCATCTGTTCATTTCAGATTTCCTTATCTGAAGTTTTGCTACCCTGTTGCCCCAGACATGTCATTTCCTGCTGGACTAGGGCCACTTTAATGTCTCATTACACACACAGACACACACTCTCACACACACAGCATACACTTCGAAAAAATGGAAATTACAGAACGTATAAGGAAAATAAAAAATCATCCATACATCTAGCTATAAGGTAGTTTTTAATATTAAATAAAATTGTAATCATGCTTCATATACTATCCTTCCATTCTCCCCAGTCACACTACTTTCTGTTTTTTCATATTACATGATGAAGCACACCTGAAAAATCAACCCTTTGGAGAAAGGGCTGACCATGAGATTCACAGAACTTGTTTGTCCTTAAATTTCTTAAACATGCTAAATCTTCATTTTTCTATCTGTATATAACCAAATAGTGAGAATAAAATATTGGATATGAAAGACTGCTAACTTTCCCAAAATGATCACAAAACCAAAAATGTATAAAATGTATCCATCAAAATCTACAACTTGGTACTATCAAAGACACAAAAATAAAGTCTACAAAAACCACATACTGCCACATACACAACACATAACAAAGTTATAATACCTGGAAAACATCAAGAAGTCCAACATATACATAAGAAAATCTAAGAGCAAAATAAATAAATGTCATGAACAGGTATTTCATGAAGAAAAACAAGTTTCTAAGCAGTGTAAGAAAAGATCTTGAAGTTCAAACCATGCAAATCAAAACAAGTTTATATCGCTAAGCATCAAAATAGTGACACTTAAATTCATTCATCGATTCAACAGATAATGATCAAAGGCCAACTCTACGCCAAGTATGATGCCGAGCACAAAAAAAGTGATGGAGACCCACTGCTTTTGAGGATTTGGGAAGGAGAATTTCATATACTGCTGGCAAAAGACAGGTTTGATAAAGTCATATTGGAGGACAATGTGGCTGAATTTATGAACATTTTAAATGATTTTTAGTTTTTGGTGTGGGAGGGGACAGGGTCTAGCTCTGTCTCCCAGGCTGAAGTACAATGACAGGATTGCAGCTCACTGCAGCCTCCAATTCCTGGGCTCAAGAGATCCTCTTGCTTCCGCCTCCTAAGTAGCTAAGACTACAGGCACACACTACTATGCCCAGCTAATCTTTTTTTAAAACTTTGTTTGTAGAGAGAGAGTCTTGCTATGTACCTCAGGCTGGTCTCAAACTCCTGGCTTCAAGAGTTCCTCCCACCTGGGCCTCCCAAAGTGTTTAGAACAATTACTCCAAGGCACTCTTATCTTTTGTCTAGCCTGCTATGGTAGCCTCTCCAATGAGATTTCTGCTTCCAATACTGCTGTGTTATAGTCTATTTTTTCAAAAAAGCAACCAAAATTATATTTTAAATACAAATGAGATCATGTCACATTTCGGCTCAAAACAATCCAATGAGTTCTGATCATTCTTAGAGTAAAATCCAACGTTTCTACTATCCCACCTTCCTCTCCACTGGTATTTCCTACCAGCCTTTGACTACATCTCCACTGGGATCCCCAATCCTCTTCCACTGCCCATTGCACTCCAGATACTCATCCCTGAGCACAGCAAGGATGATTCTGCCTTAGAACCTCACGTGGAACACCCCACCCCAGAAATTCAGATTCTTTCATTATATCCAGACCTCTGTCAAATCTTTTCACATTGGCCATCTCTGAGCACCCTAACTGACAGCAGCCACGTTGTCCTTCATTCCCAAACCCTGCTGTTTTTTTTTTTCAGAGAACTCATCACTATTTGATGCTATGCTGCTGTATCTCTCTTTTCATATTTTATATACACACATACTCACAAAAATATACTCGTTTACTTATTGATTGTCTGGTTTTGCCACTGGTATTTAAGCTGCAAAAGTACAGGAATTCGGTTTAATTTGTTCATGACTAAATCTCTAATTCTAAAACCATGTCTGACGTAGGAGTAAATGTTTCATAAAATTTGTTGCATGTTTGAATGAAGTAATGAATAAATTTCAAGTACATATACTATTTAATTCAACAATTCCAATACTAGGAAACTATCGTAAAGAAATTACATTTGAGCAATATTTGCGGCATTAATTACAGCGTTCTAAGTAATAGTAAAAAATGAGGACAAATATATTTGTCTACCAATATGGAAGACACCAGATAAATTATAGCACATCCCTATTATATAATATAAATCGTACCATGAAAATGGCAAAAAAGAGAATGAGGTAGACATTCCCTATATGATCTAATAGGGAAAGAGCCCCAAGTCATTGTCAAGTGAGACAAAAATGTAGGTCACTGGCACAGATATCATTTTGAAAATCTGATCATGGATAAAAAGTGCCATATTTTATATACAGAATGTCAAAATAACACTGTATATAGAAGAAATCAGCAAGAACATCTCACAGAATTTGTGACAGATGTTATATTTCTATACCCTGATTAATGCCCTGACAGACTATGAGTGTCATCAAATGACAGGAGTCCTTCCTTGCTGTGTCATTTTCTGGCTGCCCGATCTCACGCATCTCTAAAGTGAAAATTTCCTAATATTTTCAGGTAGTCTGCTCCAGGGTTTATCTTAAGAAGTAGTGAAACTCTCCTTTATTTTGTTGTCACTTGTACACATTACACATTGTTCTATCATTTTTCAACTTAGGAAAAACAAAATTTCACATAAGGGATCACATCCCTTATTTTTTTTTTTCACTTCTTCCTAATTTTATAAAGATGTGTCTACAGTAGAGGCCCAGTGTGGTGGCTCATGCCTGTAACCCCAACACTTTGGGAGGACAAAGTGAGTGTATCTCTTGAGACCAGGAGTTCAAGACCAGCCTGGGAAACATAGTGAGATCCTATCCCTACAAAACAATTAAAAAATTAACTGGTCACTGGTCACAGTGGTGTGCGCCTGTAGTCCCAGCTACTCAGAAGGCTGAGGAGGAAGGCTCACTTGAGCCCAGGAGTTGGAGGCTGCAGTGAGCCATAATTGTGCCACTGCACTCCAGCTTGGGCCATGGAGCAAGACCCTGTCTCTTAAAAAATAATAATAATAAAATAAAAATATAAAAAATGTGTTTATAATAAATAAATCAGAAAAGACATAAAATAATGAAGCAAAAAAAAAGTCATCTATAATCCCAACCCCAAGAGATAACTACTATTAAAATTCTTGTGTATGTACTTTCAGCAAATTTTTAAAGTATAGATACCAACATACTCTCTGTGTATCTGCAGCACGTTCTATAAGCAGAGCAAATATTTATTTCACCAAAGTCCTAGAAGCACTTTCTCAAAACATTAAATATATATGAAAACAAATTTTATCCTGCTACTTGAATTCTCTTTTAGTTTATGTATACAATATTTATCCTATCAATCACTCATTATTCAACAGTAAATATGCGGCTTCTAACATTTACTGGTTACTGAAGTAGATGGGAACCATCTAGCTATGGTCTCTCCCGTTAAGTCAGGGAAGAAAGATGCTGAACAAGCAATTATCCCAAAGGCAACACGCTTCTTCCGGTGACTTAAAATCACACTTCATGTTTCTCCTTCTTAATACCTTTAATGCAATCTTTCAGAAAGTCCTGTTGGCTCTATATTCAAAATATAATCATACATTTTTAGGTGAGAAAAGTAAGTACTGTGCAGTTTTATATCATATGCAAACATGTTTGGGTAAGAAAGGGAGACAAAAGCTAGCATAATCCATTTGATGCCTTCCTTTATTCACACACACATACACACACCCTACAGGAGTAGACATATACATATAAAGAACCATTGGAAGAACAAATAGGTAATTAATAAAATGGGATTCAGAAGGACTGGACTGTGTGTATGCACTTTTAAAATAATTTTGACTTTTGAATCATGTAAACATATTGCTTATTAAAAATAAAATTAAGACATTCAAACAATATAAAATTTTCAAGTATATCAACCAAACCCTTCCCTACTATCTCCACCCTTACTACAACAGCTCACATTCCCAACATCTTTTTCCTTCATTATTACAATAGCTTCTTAAATGGTCTCCTTGGCTCCACAGCGTCCCTTCAGCCAATTCTTGACACAGTGTCCAGAGTGATGATGTTGAAATGTAAGTAAAATAATGTCACTTCATCAACCAAGCCCTCCAACAGCTTCCCATCCCTTTCTGAGTAAAAAGCCCGCATCCTCACAATGGCCTATGGGGTTCTCTTCATTCTCTGCAACCTCTTCTCCTGCTATTCTGCCATTGGTTCTCTTTGCTCAGCAACAGTGTCCCTTCTGCTGTTATTCAAACACATCCAGCATGCTCTCCCCTCAAGGCTTCCATTGCGCCCTTCCTCTGCCTGGGATGCCCTTCTCTCTGATATCAGCAGGTTTCTGTTCCTCATATCAGGCGAGTTTTGAATCACTTGTCACTTTATCACTAAGCCTTCCCTAACACCCTATTTAAAATCACACTGTCCCTTCCTCCACCTAACTCTAGCATTATCCCCATCCTTGCTCAGCATTTCTCAATGGCACTCCTCACCATCTGATGCAAAACATGCTTTACTCATTGTCATTGAATCATTTGGTTCTCTAGTATGACAAGAATTTTCCTCTGTTTGCCCACTGCTGGATCACCTGTGTCTTCATGGGTACCCAACACACTCAGTAGGCACTTAATGGATATTTAGTTATTGAATCAATGAATGATAAAAATTAACATAAATTTGTGGAGACTTAAAAACTGAGTTTACAGGGTACTATCGGGGCAGAGTACATAAATTAAGTAGCCAATCCTCTATTGGTGGACATTACATTTATTAAAGATATTTCACCATTATAAATAATTATGTAGCACAAATAACTGCATACATGTCCAAGTATTCTTTTGAACAATTTTACAAAGGTAAATTACTGGATAAGTTTAGACATTATACTGACTTGTGACATATTGCCAACTTGCCAATAAGGAAAGTTGTGCCTTTTTCATTACATAAACAATGGGGGTTACATTGTAAAAATATATTAATTTGATAGGCAAAAATATTGTTTTCATCTGTGTGGCTTTGAACACCAACAAGATTGAAATGTTTTTAAATGTTTCTTGGTAGTTTTTATTTCTTCTTTTGTGACCTGCCTAGTCATATCCTTTGTTCGTTTTTTTCCTATCATTTATCTTTTTCTTACTAAACTATGAGCTTTTATTTACCTAATATACTTATTCTGTAATTAATGTCATTATTATTTTTCCAGTTTGTCACTTAAATTTAATTGTATTTATCTTCATCTGACACAATAACATTTAACATTTTTATATTAAATTTATCAATATTTTCTGTTACAGTTTTTGACTTTGCTCCAATGACTAAAAAGGATCCACCTCAAGGAAAGATAAAATTTACTCATATTTTCCTCAGACTTTATTTTTTGACATTACAAGTTTAACTTAAGCCAGATAAAATAGCAAAACCCCTTAAATATCTTCTTTCCCTCCTCTTTTCTCCCTCCTTTCTTGAAAGGATGGGATTCTT
The DNA here is from genome assembly GCF_000001405.40 of Homo sapiens. Taxonomy (NCBI): domain Eukaryota; kingdom Metazoa; phylum Chordata; class Mammalia; order Primates; family Hominidae; genus Homo; species Homo sapiens. The sequence goes on along the minus strand of NC_000010.11, from coordinate 82,070,304 downwards.
TTTTTGCATGAACTCAATTGACTCATTCTCCCTGGTACTCATGAAAGGCCCCCTCAATGTGGAAAAAGTAACTTCAGAGGTGAGAAGAAACAGCTAGGAGGGGAGACAGGGAGATCACTCTGGGTCCCATCAGTCAAGCTTCCTGGCTTAGCAAGGAATTTGAAAGCAGCTGTTTTAAGTTGGACTTCAGATAAACCTATGTGCTTATCTCTTGATTTGACCAACATATTTCTTGACACATGTAAAGCATGTGTTAGATCTACGATCTGTTATTTTCTTGGGTGATGAGGATTTTTGCAGATGGTGTTTAATCAAATATATTCACTCAGTAGAAAAATCTCTGAAGCATCACATGATTTTCCTGGATTTTGACAGACTATTAATAAGAGAGGCGAATCCTGTCACTGCACCAACACTTCACAGGGAAAAAGGCAGGTGAAGTTTCTGTTTCTTGTGACAAACAAGCTATGCTAACCATCCCATTTTTATTCTTAGTTTGTACCAATTAATTTACCAGAGCAGTTTTCTAAAAGCTTATTTCAATATGAAACTTCTCTATCTATCACTATTAGATGATTTTTGATATAGGTTTTATATGTTTTCTACAATCCAGACTCCGTTTCTTTTTGTTTTCTTTGTATGAACACCTTCAAAAATAAATACGAATTCAAATACCAATTTTAAATGAGTGACATAAGCTCAGATAAATCCTGGTTTGGAGCTGGCAGACATGAGTCTGAATCTTGTCCTCATGCCCCGTATGACTTTGGGTATTAGTATTTAAATTCTCTAAACCTCATTTTTCTCACTTATTAAAAAGGAGCTGACACTCTATACCTCACATGGCTGTTGGAAAGTTAAATACGCTCATGTGTGCCCGGTGCCTCACCCATTGTAAGAAGAGATGAGTAAGAAAACTTCCTGGTCTAGAAACCAGGCGCCACCTCACAAGTCTCAACATCAGTACCTGTTATTTCACTGTGTCACGCTTTGCCTCTTTTCGTGTATCTGGTACCTCGTGCATGCAGTTCTCTGAGGTCCAGCTGTTTTGCCAACGTTAGGTGAAGTGAAGCTTCTAAGAAACTCCAATGCAACCTGACCCCTATCCAATCCATCTGCACCCTAGTAGGCCTGCACAGCCATCTAAGCTGCTATTTAATGACATGCTCTGTGGTTCTGAAGACAGTAACAAGAGGAATGGGTTTCTCTCTGGGCATGGGAAATATCATTCCAGGATTATAAATTCTCTGAAGCAATTTGTGTTTCTACTTACAGTTTTCAAAGCTCTAATCCAATTAAACCCTTCTGTGGACATGCTGTTAACTCAAATACAATTCTTGTTTTGGTGGTTGACTTATTTTAAATATTTGCAAGATTCCACTGTGACTTATTGAAAGCAGTACTCAATGTCATTATATTTTCATAGCATCCAGAGTGATTTTTAAGTACACAAATACGATTATTTCATTCCATACTTTATAGTCTGAGGATAAAAAACAAAATATGTTAGTGACTAACAAGCCCAGCTTGACCTGGCTTGGCCACTTAAATGACCTCATTTCTTCCCACTGTCTCTCTGCATTCCTGGAACACTCTCCCCCTTTCCCTGCCCGCTCCCTCTGGTGTCACCTCTTTCATCTAAGCAATTCATTTTCATCCTTTACAGCTCAATTCTAATATTAACACCTTAAGCAAGCCTTCATTGAAACCCCTATTTATGTGTTCTTACAGCATCCTGTGCCTCTTCATAATAGCAGTATCACAGCTTACCTTATACATTTATTTGTGGTTTTATGTGACTAGTAAATTTCTCAACTAAGCTGTACGCTTCTCAAGGGCAGGAAACGTCTATTTTGCACATGGGTACCTAATACAGAGCCTATCATGTAGTATGTGCTTGATACATTTTATTGAATAAAGGAGGGAATCAATGAATTTTTGTAAAAGTAAACATTTATAACCTTATTTTACACATTTTTAAAAGAATGTGGATGCTACTGTCATCAGGCTTCTGTATCACGTGCAGTGGCCTTAGAAATAAAGTGAGACACTAAATACTAATTGTTAAAAGGCATTCTAAACAGTTATGTTCTACTGTAAGCTGCAGTAGTTGTTCCTGCAATTCCCTCAAAGCTATAAAAAGGAAGGATGGTTTCTCCTTATTACATTAGTCCTGAAATCCCAGTATTTATAAACTATAATTCTATTGTTCTACACTCACACACTCAACCATTCTTCGACGCAGGAAACACTTGTCAGTTGTGTACTGTTCAAGATCATTACTTACAGGTAGCTTGAGGAGGAATGTAAGTCAGAAGGAAAAAGAGGAATATGCTTTTCTGTGATGAATACTGACATAAATTGTTACAAAAATAAAAATTATAAACTTGATTTTTGTTTAGACTGAAAAGCAAATGCCTATATCCCTGAGGGCCATGCCATATGTCAAGTGAAACTCGCAAAGTGCTATTCAAAGGAAATGACAAAGATTGCTTTGAGAGCATTAAGATAATAAAGCAAGGTTTCTTGAGTGGCTCCCTTCCACCACTCTGTGTCAAAAACAACTGTTTGAGGTCTAACAGTTCTGATTTGGTGGTTCCTCTCTGAAAAACACAATAGCAATCCACTGGTGCTGTCAGCAGGAGTGCAAACAGACAGGCCAGGTGTGGTGGCTCACACCTATAATCCCAACACTTTGGGAGGCCAAGGCAGGCGGATCACCTGAGGTCAGCAGTTTGAGACCAGCCTGGCCAACATGGCGAAAACCCGTCTCTACTAAAAATATAAAAATTAGCCAGACATGGTGGCAGGAACCTGTAATCTCAGCTACTTGGGAGGCTGAGGCAGGAGAATGGCTTGAACCGGGGAGAGAAGGTTGCAGTGGGCAAGATTGCGCCTGGGGGATAGAGCAAGGCTCTGTCTCCAAAGCAAGCAAACAAACCACGACAACAACAAACAGCAAATGGGGAACAAAAGTAGAGTGGGAAAATTTCTTTACAATAATTAACATAAATGAATTTAAAAGAAAATACAATTCAGTCCTAATGCTTGTTTTTCTAAAGCATGAATTACAATAGTTGATGACTTCAAGGATAAATTTTCCTTCAAAAAAATTCCACTAACTTCAAATTTTTGTCAATTGGGTTTGACAATGAAATAGAAGTGCTCCACTGTTTTGGGGTTTGTTATATTTGCCATTTTTTAAAAAAAATCAAACTGAGAAAAATTCAACAGAATATAGTAAGAAATAAAATTTGCAGTTGTATTCTATAAAGCCTCTTAACTTTTGTATATTTAGGATCTAATAGCTAAAAGTAGAAGGGCATTCTTGGGAGGAGTTACTCAAGTTACTTATATATGTTGATTCACACTAATATGAAAATTGTCTTAATGAGTCTATGGACAAGGGTATCTACAAATTGAATCCAAAGAATTCTGACAGCCAGTATGATAGGATTCATTAATCATGACTCAAAAAAAAAAGAATAGGTCTAAGTACCATGGGTGGTGAACTAGCTGGTGTCTTCCCAACATATGGCTGATCCCAATGTTTACTGGTCCTAAGAACATTATACTCACTGGTGTAGAGAGAATGGAAACATAAATGTTGCATTGACTTCCTTCAGGTCTTCGTGAAGTGAATCACTCAGGTAAGTACTCAGCAGACATGGATCTTATAGAATTTTAAATATTGTGTGCTTGTAGGACCTCTGATAGTCCACAAAGCTTAGTATGCATGGTCCAGGCTCCAGAAAGCACATATTGCAGAGGCCCCCAAATAGGATACCAAAATGAGGGTCCCTTGCCTCTGCCTTCCCTGCATCAGTTAACCATAAGTAAAACAGAAAAGTACGTAACAGTAAGAAATAACTTAACTAGATTGCAAATCCCATAGGCATGTCTACAAATTTACTGATAGACAGAGTGTACATTTACACAAAATATATGCACATATGTACATTGAAAAGGTAATTTATGCATATATAATACATGAAAATTAATACATATGAATATGTGTAGATGTATATTTACATTCTTCATCAATTAAATCATAAACACATTCTTGTACTAAGAATATTCCCAAGATGAGTGAACAAGATAATATTTGTTTTATATGGTAGTTATTTTTAGATTTTAGGCAAAATAAAGAAACTAAAAATTATATTTGAAAAATTAATATCCTCATTAACTTGTAAAAGACATGGTTAAATTAAAAATGAAACAAAATACATACATTTTAGTTCACGTTCATTTCTTCTAATGATTATAATGTTAAAATGATAGATTTTTAAAAGTAAAGGTTAAGACAATAATAAAAATGATGATAGCAATGGAAAACAGGCCTTTGCAAAATTTCTAAATTGAAATGTGAGTTTTGTTCCTGACATAAAAACTAGATTAAAGAGCAATTTGATTTATAATTTTTAACTACACAAAGAGTTGGGATATACAAATTCTTGAACAGATAATCAGAGACTTTGGATTGGTGGGAGGATCTTTTCTGGTTATTGCATCTAAAAATCCAACTAGGGATGAATCTGTTCAGCGAAATTCCTAAAATATTCCTCCTCCTGCAAGGGTCCATCTAGAGACACAGAACACACTATCTCCTTTTTTATTTTCTAACTAGAATTTTTAATTATTAAAAACATTTTTCTTTATGTACTCTCTACTGATAACCCCAATGCAGTAGTCTATATTCTTCCCCCTTCTGTCAGTAATTCAGCAAATTTTTTTTTAACATGTACTATGTGCCAGGGACTGGAGTCCTACACAATTAATTGAATTACTGTGTCACATTAAGAAGGCAGATAGTGAATCCTTCCCAGTGACACAAACTGACACAATGTATATATCTTTCACTATATGTACTCTCATTCTACGAATGTTTGCTACAATGATATACAATAAATTTTACCTAAAAGTTATTATCAAACTCTAAACCCCACTCTATTTATACACATCAGTGAAAATGTCTAATTGCAGGCCAGACCTGGTGAGAGGAAGCAGAGTGTTCTGCAATTGTCTATGTGTTTTTATTCTAATAACAAGCATCTCCTGCTTGTGCTTGCTATTAATAGATGGATTTTTCATTATCACTCTCAATTCCCCTCATAGTTTTACGTAAATATGTCTCCTACGGAAGTCAAAAAGCCTTTGAAGAAAGTCAGTGAGTTTTAAAGGCCTTGAAAATCCATTATTTTAGAAGAAAAGTTGGAATGATAAAGTATATTGAGATAGATGTTTGTTATGAAATGAAAATTTAATTTGTCTCTGATACTGCTCAGCTTCTGCACACAAATATTTCAAAGAACAAGTTTAAGTGTTAAATAACAGGGCAATGGATGTATGAAATTCTTTATGTGTGCATGAATAGTTGTTATATGGGTATTTAAGAGTATCTTCAACATACTGAGGACTTTGGTTGGAGTTTTGAATAATTCTTCTTCCATTAAAAATACAGAGATAAAGGTTCTTGCTATCTCCAAATTCACTATTCAGCAAACTTTCAGGAGAGGACAATGTTCAGCTAAAGGGGATGTCTAAACTCCAGGTGGAGGCTGTGGGTCACCCCTTCCATCAGCACTTACCAGAACTTCAGGAACTTTTGGGGCATTCTCTTGGCTCAGATTTCTCTTGTACTTAAATGCTCATAAGTGTGCATCAGGCCATCTCATCTTCATGCATTACTCCTTGATCGTCCGTCTATAGCTTTACATTTATCCATCAAAGATTATATCTAATTTAGTTAGCTACTCAAATCTATTGACATCTTGATGCTTTTTTTTTCAACGCGTATAAGTCATTTTTCCACCATCTCCTAGGCTTCATGCTTTCTTTATATTTGTTCAGCAAATGATTATTTAAAATGTGTATTCAATAATGATTAGTGAATGGGATTTTTATTGTTTTATAATAAATATATTATTTTTATATATATTTGATATTTCATAAGAAAATGATTACCTTTAGTTAGTATATTTCACTTAAATGGATCTCCATGAGAGCCCTGTGAGGTGGACCAGGCAAATCTCCATGGTACTAGAATGATCCTGTCTTAGGTGAATTTCCTGTGATCTCAGGACTATAAGCTATGCAGGATTGGACCACAGAGTTATTTTGACTCTTGGTCTAATGATCTTTCCTTAAATCCATTCCTTAATTCACTGATACAATTCCAAACCAGAACATGTCAATGTTGTTTCCCTATCTTTAAAAGTTTGTTTGGGAAAAATTATGTTTCATGTTGACATGAGGTACAACATCACTGTCACCATGAGAAAAAATACAAGACTGGATCATGATAAGAGGCAGAAGATTCCTTTCAGAAATACAGATCAGTCATTCATCAGGGCAGTAAACCCTCTCTACAACTAAAACGTTTTTGAGATTCTTTGTTCTCCCAGCTATGTTGTTAAAAAATGGAAGTAAAATTTCCATGATGTAAGCCAGCAGGCAAATCACACCTGATAGATCAAACGATGGTGGGAGGGACTTGCTCTCCCTTTGAATACATCATTTTTCTTTCTTTAGTTCCCAGTTTACTTTCTTTCTTTAGTTCTTTAGTTCTTTCTTCAGCTATTTAGTTCCTTTCTTTAGTTCTTTAGTTCCTTTCTTTAGCTTAGTTTCTTTCTTTAGTTTCTTTAGTTTTCTTTCTTTAGTTACCAAATATTAGCTTCTATAATTACCTCTACCAATAATGCTATACCAAGACACAAGGGCTGATGGGTTTATTAAGGGCACCGATTGACTATCCTTAGAAAGCAACATTTCATCTGACAAAAAAAAAAAGATCTTTTCCTGCCTCTAAAAAATATATTGATTGTCTCTATACAAATAGAGCAGCAGAAATTGTTTATCAGTAGAACAGCAGAGTTATGTTAAAAATATGTTTATACTTTCTCATCTCATGTTTCTTCCAATTACTTTTGGTCTGCTATTATAAGCTAAGATATTTGTAATACTTCTATTTCCTTTTTTTTTTCACATTTGCGTCTTGGTATAAAATAAAGAAAAAAAAACAGAAACTTGAGACTGTAAAATGATGATAAACCTAAAATGCATTTCCAGTGATAGTTAGTGACATAAAAATGAGAAAACAGCCATGAATACTCTCATCAAAAGAATCATAAGTGTAGAACCACAGAAGAACTGAATTGTTTGAGGTGGAGGGGACTCCTGGGATTGCCCAGGTATTCCATTCTATCACTGAAGAAGACACCACAATGTTGAGTGAGTGACTTGCCTGGAGGTACTCAAGTCCTTGGCTGAGGTACTGTTATGTACCCTAACACTAATGGGGTATCAAGTTGGTGGGGTGGGCGGCAGATAATGGCTGCTTAGAACAGCAGAATGGCAATATTAGTCCTCAAATGAGGGAGCTGCAAATGGCCAAACCACTCCAGAAGCACAGATTCAGTAGCTCTAGCAGTAGGTATGCTCTGAATACACAGCAAGGAAAAAGACCAGTCATTTTCCTAAGAGTGGATTCAGCACATTTTTGTTTCTCTTCAGTACCTTCCCTTCATTTTTGGTTTCCCTTCCACATTTTGATGATGATACTTTTCCCCAGTAGCATCATCAAAAGGGAGAAAGACAGCATAGCCTCTCCATCTCATGCCCCTATATTCTGCTCCATCCCATTGCCTGGGAGCCAGCTTTCCCTTAATTCTTATTTTTTTTCTTTTTCTTTTTTTTTTGAGATGGAGTCTTGCTCTGCCCCTAGGCTGGACTGCAGTAGCGTGACCTTGGCTCACTGCAACCTCTGCCTTCCAGGTTAGAGCAATTCTCCTGCCTCAGCCTCCTGAGTAGCTGGGACTACAGGCGCACACCACCATGCACAGCTAATTTTTGTATTTTTAGTAGAGATGGGGTTTCACCATGTTGGCCAGGCTGCTCTCAAACTCCTAACCTCAGGTGATCCACCTGCCTTGGCCTCCCAAACTGCTGGGATTACAGGTGTGAGCCACCATGCCCGGCCTGCCTTAATTCTTAGAACTTCTATTTGTTGACTCTCCCAGAAATCCAATCTGCTCCCCTCTGGCATCCAGAGGAGACTGAAGACTGTGGCAGATAATAAAGAAATGAGCTATGCTGAGCTCTCAGGGACCTTGGGCCTCTTCAGGGGAAAGAACACTCTAGAGATACAAGCAGGGCTTTGTTTCCCGGGCTGCTTGGATCACCCCCAGTTCTGCTGACACATTGTGCCCAATGTCCAGACTGCATGATACCTGGCAGCAGCTGCAACCCAAAGCTATCTTTGGATAGCTATTCTTTGGTCATCAAAAGCAAAGAAAAGGAAAGACCAATATAGATTTGCACCATGCAGCTCACTGACTAATTTCTATATATAATTGCTTTTAAATTTTTGTAAATCAACTGGTAAAGTATCACTATCCTTTTAAGAGATGTATGTGTGTGTGTGTGTGTGTTTGTGTGTGTGAGAGAGAGAGAGAGAGAGAAAGGGACACTGACAGAAAGAAGAGAACAGAAGGAAAGGAGGGAGACAGACAGAAAAAAGGTGAAGGAGGGAAGAGAGCAGTTATGGAGAGAAGGCTTAATCCAGAAATGGGAGAAGAGGGGGAAAACAGAAATCCAAGTAAAGACCTAAAGGCAGTGTGACTCCATCATGATACCCCAGCATTCACTGAGCTCACTCTACAAACACATGCAAGTGGATTTTTAAAAGGAAACTGGTAGAAAGCCCAAGTTTCTTATTATGACGGATATGGGTTGAAGGGCAGCAATGACCACAGCACGGGAGCTGGAGGTAGAGGGGACCAGGAGAACATCCAAGGTGGAAACTCTGTAAAAACCTTGGGGAGAGTTTTAAATTCTGCAGACCTGAGAATTGGAAGAACAATATAAATTCAACTAGATCTCCAAGGAGTAAATGGGGGTCACCCTACCTGTTTTAAAATTATTGTTTTTCTGTTTTGTTTTGTTTTGTTTGAGAGGGAAAATCTTGCTCTGTTGCCCAGGCTGGAGAGCAGTGGCGCAGTCTTGGCTCACCGCAACCTCCGCCTCCTGAGCTGAAGGGATTCTTCTGCCTCAGCCTCCCAAGTAGTTGGGATTACAGGCACCCGCCACCACGCCCGGCTAATTTTTGTACTTTTAGTAGAGACAGGGTTTCACCATATTGGCTAGGCTGGTCTTGAACTCCTGACCTCGTGATCCACCCGCCTCTGCCTCCCAAAGTGCTGGCATTACAGACGTAAGCCACCAAAGATTATCACATACCTACATACACTGAAACCAAACCAAAACAATACAACTTGGGTTCAAAAAACATATGGAGCTATTTCCAGATTGCAAACATAGGAAGTGGCAGTGGTGGGCCTGGGAGCCAGACAGGCCTGACCTCAAAGACTGAACTCCTTCCTCTCACAAGTGTCACCCGAACTGGCATGAATGAGACAACCAGAGTCAGAAAGAGCGAACCGCACCAACCAGCCCAGTCCAGGCTTCTTAGTTACTGGGAGAAAGAGGTTGAGTAGAGGCAATATGCAGGTCTTCCCACCTTCTACTGGCCACAGGTAGGTCAGTACAGGCATCTTCCAACCTGAGAGGCACCAATAATTCCACTAACAAAGAACAAGGTGAATTATCCATACAGACATCAGGAAACCCAGGTGGACAATATTTGCATTAGAAATTACTGTACTCATTTATGCTAGAATAAATATTCACAAGGCTAAAACAAAAACAAGATTGCTAATCAGATGATATTCAATAAAAATTAAAGCACATTCTTGAAATCATTATTTACAACATCACTTAAAACGTTCCCTATTGCATCTTTGATCTATGCATAACCACCAAAATTACTACTCTTAGGGAGAACAGAACTGTCAAAAAATTTAAAATCATTGCAGTTCAGGCTGGAAGGATTCATGGTAGAAGACAGCACCCCTCAGCACTTTATGGCACACAGTAAGAAATATTTCAGTTTAAGCAAGTCTTTTTTCTGTAATTCTCTATCCTCCTAGTAACTCTCATTATTTAAACATTCATGCATGCCATATATTGTGTACCTACATTGTGCTTGTCCTTATTAATTGTTGTGAAGACAATAAAGGAAATGCTCATGCCTTCATATAAGGAGATACAGACACGTAAGTGACTACTATAGCAACAGACTGTGAGAAATGGCTTTGTAGACAATATGAGTAATAATTACCATTTATGAAATGAAATTCCTGTGTGGGGGAGTCAGATATTGTGCCAATCTTAATTGTATCCTTCACAACAAACAAGGTCTTTATTATTACACCCATTTTTAAAGGAGGAAACAGAAGTTTAGAGCAGTTGATTTCCTTGGGGTCCAGGGCCGTGCAAGTGGCAGAGGTGGTTTTGCCTGTGTCCAGTACCCATGATTTCTATACTAAGTTACAACATATTCAAATACAATGTTATGGCTGATCATCAAGGGAACATATCAGAAGCCACTGGTGGTACCTAGGACATGAAGGTGTCCTTGTAGATAGGCTTTAAGATATGTAGGCAGAAGGGTCTCCCAGGGGAGGGGACAGAATAAACAAAGCCACAAGTATGGAAAGCGAAGAATCCATCCTGGTGTAGGATGGATTGATTAGGTGTACTGGGTCTGGGAAGACCAGCTGAGAGGCACTGACATAGCGCCGATCATAAGTAAGAATGATTTGAATTGGGACGAGAAGTAAAATTGGGAATGGAAATGAGAGGATGGGGAACATTGTCACTTTGTTATTCAATAGATATCTAGTTCAAAAAGTCTCCTGCCAAATTATTTATTTCCCTCCTAGAAACAGCTCCTCCTTCTATCACGTTTTTCAGAAAATGTTAACTCAATCTACCAGTTGCTCAAGAAAAAAGCTTAGTCACCTCCTTGATTCTTCTTTTTCTCCCATCCTTGCTATCTTAGTCATTACCTAATCTGGCCATTCACCCTGAAATATCTACTGAGTGTATCTGTGTCCTTCCACATTTACTAGGCCATAGTTACTTTCCACCTACATTACAGCAATATCCTCTAAATCAGCCCATCCCTCTAAGGGTTTTGTCATTTTCTATCCAGTATAAAAAGTGCTACAGCCTAGATGTTGTTCAAAAAATACAGATTTGATCACATTATTCCACAGTTTCAAACCTTTCAATGCATCTCATTGCTCTCAATAAAACATCCACAATTCATTGCTTGGCCCTTGTTCCTGTCCGGCTTCATTCTGCAGCATTTGCACATCACAATGTATACCTCTCCCCAACTGAACTACTGTTTTAGTTTTTCAAATAATTCTGCTTTGTCTCACTGGAAACGTCCCACATGTTGCCTCGGCATGACTTTCTTGCTCCTTCTCCACCATTCCCCACATACTGGAAATACAGACTTCAAATCACCCCTGCCAGGAAGCTTTTCCTGATTGTATTGTCCAGGTCAGACGCACCTCCTATATACGTTCCCATGGCAAGCAGAGTATCTTCTATTAAAGAATATATCACCCTAAATAAGAACTGCCTCTTCAGTTGTCTGTAGTGCCTAGATTTAGGGTTTTGATGTGTCCAACTTTTTCATTTTTGTTCTCAAGGCCTGAGGCAAAGTAGAATGACCTTCCATGTTTCCTTAGGAAAAAACACCAAAAACTTGTGAGATGACTAAAGGAAGGAGAAGGGAAAAAAATCAAAATAAAAAAACTTGTGATGGAACTACTCAATATGACCTAAATTAAGCTAATTTTTTCTAGAAAAAGTATATTTATAAATATATATTATATAGATAGAATATAATAGAAAGTTGAAGGCATACCTATACATAAAAGCATTCTGCACCACATAAAAGGAGTCATTTATATTCTACAGATGAAACGGGTCGTTGAAAATATTAATTCTAGGAAGAACTAGAAGAAATATCAGATTAAAAAATAATTTTATGGTATCGACGGAGACAATTTTCTAAGCATGGAATCAAATGCAGAGAACTTAAAAGGAAAGATCAATATATTTGACTATATAAAAACTTAAAAGGTCTTAAGAAGAAAAACACAGCACTTTTATCAAAGTTAAAACTAGATATAACAAACTAGGGAAAAAAATAACTTGCTATGTATGGCCTAGAATTGCTATCCTTAATATACATAGAGCCCTGGAAAAAAGAGAAAACACAAAGATGAAGCACCCAATGAGACTTGTATATATAAAAGTTTGAGTAAATGTTACCAGAACATGACACCCCTTATTTCCCATTTAGCACAATTAATAATATAACATATCAAATAATCGGTTTTTAATGCACGACTGTAGTCACAGGAGAGTAAGGGAATTCTTTAGAAGGCTTTACAAAGAAAAAAAAAAAAAAGAAAGGAAAGAAAGAGAGAATCCACATGAGTAAGCAAGCACTAGAATGGGAAGTTTTCTTCAGTTTATATGCCAATCACTGGTGGCCCGGAGTCTGAGTTTTAGTCGGCCATGCAAATAAGGAACTAAGGTAGAAGGCCAGATTGAAGACTCCCTGTGAGTATCTTGAATCCCTGATACATGGTAACTCATTTAGAATGAAGGTCCTAGCTTTGGCCTAAAGTAGATACGAAGAAGGACGAAGAGGAGGCAGTGAAGGAGAAGGAGAACTCTCTTGATAATTCTTAAACAAAAATTTGCCCTCATGTTTGAAACAAAATTTATCATACCCTTGTCCACTCCCCACCCAAACTTAAAGTATAATTTAAAGTAGTTATAGATTGCTAAGGCCTCTAGTTATCTGAAAGTAGCCTAGAAATCCTTTCTGAAGACAATTTAAATGTAGCCTAAAAATTACCCCAACAATTTCAAAGGATCAAAGATCAAAAGAATTTAAAAAATTATTATACAAATGAGGAAATAAGCTGCCATGTATACGTGTAGGCAGAACCAACATACCACAGAATTAAACACCAAAGAACAACAGATATTGGACTTATGACACAGAGACTATAAATCATGCATGTGTAACATGTTTAAATAAATAACAGAAATTGGAGTAGGAGTTAGGAAAAAAGAACTAACAAAATTATACATACGTATTTGATAAAGAACCAAATAACTCTATAGAAATGAAAAATGTAACGTTAAAAAGACTATCAGATATGGCTTAAAGGAAAATTAGTACATTGAAAAAATATCTGAAGAAAATACAAGAAATGAAGTACACATATAAGGGGTGATGGAAAATAGGAAAGAAATATTTTAAGGAAAGGATAATAGAGTGGAAAGATCCAACAAGCAGTATAAAGTGCAAAATCCTAATAGAAAATAAAGACAATGATTATTTGGAGTAAAAATTCATGGGAATTTTCCAGAATTAATGAGAGATAACAATGATCAGAATCAGAAGGTTGTGAATTCTACACGTAGATAAATCCTACTGAAATTGCAGTGTAAAAATAAATAGAAGTTTTAAAAAACAGCTGTGGGAAAAAAAGTCATCCACAATAAACAATAATTAGACTACTGGCTTCTCAATAGCAAACACAAAAGTCAGAAAGCAATGGAACAATATTTCGAAAATGCTAAGAGAACATAATTGTTAACCTGGAATTCTAGCCAGAAAAGCATCTTTGAAAGCTACAGTCAAAATAAAAACATTTCTATTTAAACAAAAACTCAGAGCTAACCCCAACTAGACTGTTAAAAAAGAAAATTTCAATGAGATACTTGAAAAATCCCAGATGGAATGTCATAGCTGTAAGACTGTAGTTCCTGGCTCTGTGTCACATCTACACTGTTCCTGTCAAAATTCTCAGATTTAAACAAGTTTGACGATCCTTCCAATACTTCAGCCTCTCCATTCTTTGATTTCCTGTGGCTTTATTCTGCAATCATCTTTAGCCCCTCACTTCTATAATTGTATCTAAATCTTCTCATTACCAACAACTAACCACTCCATCCTTTTAGCTTCAAAGATTCCTATCAGAGTGAGCCTATGGCATTCCTTTCAGTAGCATAACACTAATTTTTTTTTTCAAATACACTAATCCTTTCACCATTTTACTACCATATTCAACTCTTTAAAGTCATCACACCCACCTGACCAAGCTTAGAATCTCCAGCATGCTGTTTTAATAATTCTCTTGCTCAAGTATTAAACTCCTTAACCATCTCTCATGCCATTGTACTGACCAAGAAAAAATGTCTAACTCGCTAAACAAAATTCTCCATTATGCTATAGTCACACTCCCACACAGGTACTATGATGGGACAAAATTTTTTAAAAGGCACAAGGTTGAATGATTTTGCTTTCCACACATGACCATTAGCCTCAAGTGGTCTTCGAAACTGCCTGGGAAGATTTCCGTTTTCCATTCACTATCCTATTCCCTTAAAGAATGATTTCACATCTTCTCCTCTGAATGACCTGTGCTTCTTATTTCCTAAGAACAAAAGGAGAAATTCAAAGGGAACTCACACAAGCCTACCATGCATTTCACTCCTTAATCTGAACCATTACAGATAAACCTGCCTTTATCTCCAGTCCCTTCACTAGAGTGCCTGTTCCAGCCCTTCTCATCGACATAAGATTGTTGCATATTAACTCCCCTTCTCTTTCTTGCATTGTAAATTTTTCATCGCTTTACAAATGTGCTGTCATTTTTCCCATTTTGAAATCCCTTCCTTGTGTCTACTTCCTATTCTAATTATCACCCTATCACTTTGCTCTTTGCTCCTTTTATAGAAAAAATCCTCAAAACAATTAGATAAAAAAATTAAATAATTACCACCAATTTGCCTTTTTCCATTTTCTCTTTACCTCACTCCAGTCAGTTTTTGCTCATCACTACACTAAAACTGTTTTTTGTTGTTGTTCTTTTTTTTTTTTTTTTGAGACGGAGTCTCACTCTGTCGCCCAGGCTGGAGGGCAGTGGTGCAATCTTGGTTCACTGCAAACTCTGCCTTCTGGGTTCAGGCCATTCTCCTGCCTCAGCCTCCCGAGTAGCTGAGATTACAGGCGCCTGTCACCATGCCTGGCTATTTTTTTTGTATTTTTAGTAGAGATGGGTTTTCACTGTGTTAGCCAGGATTGTCTCGATCTCCTGACCTCGATCTGCTCGCCTCGGCCTCCCAAAGTGCTGGGATTACAGGAGTGAGCCACCGCGCTCGGCTTCTTTTTTCTTTTTTCATCAAGATCACCAATGACCTCTCTATTTCATTTTATTTGACCTGTCAGCAGCAGCTGAGACTGTGGCTCTTTTTTCCTTCCTTTTTGCTTTTCTTTTCTGTTCTTTTCCTTTCTTTTCTTTCTTCTTTTCCCTTCTTTCCTTTCTTTCTTTCTTTGATTTGTTTTAAGAGAGACAGAGTCTTGTGCTGTCACCCAGGCTAGAGTGTGCTGGTATGATCTAGCTCACTGTAACCTTGAACTTCCCGTTATATTTCACATGTTCAAGCAATCCTCCTGCCTCAGCCTCCTTAGTAGCTGGGACTACAGGCACACACCACCACACCTGGCTATTTTTTTTTATAGATCTGGGGTGTCACTGTATTTCCTAGGCTGGTCTCTAACTCGTGGGCTCAAGAGATCCTCCTGGCTCAGCCTCATTCTTTCTTAATTCAAACACTTCTCTTCCTTGGCTTTCTCAATACTAGACTTTTCTGATTTTCTTTCTCTTGTCACTCGTTTTCATTCCCCTTTGCTGGTTCCTCCCCACTTCTCCAGCCTCTAAATATTGGAGTCCCTTGGAGCTCAATATTTGGATCTATTCCTCCATTCCCCATGCCAATACCATATTCATATATCTAACTGCCTACTTGTCAGCTCAACTTAAATATCTAAAAGTCATTCCAAATCAAGACCCTTATGTGCTCCACCCACATCTAAATGAGAATCCTGTACAGTCCTCCCCATCTCAATTAATAAAAATCCTACTCTTCCACTTAGTCTTTTATGCACAAAGTCTTCGAGTCATCCTTGACTCCTTTCCTCCATCACACCTTACCACTAAGCCATGAGCAAATCCTGTCACTTCCACCTTCAAAATATACCCAGAATCCAGCCACTTCTCAATATCTCTGGTCTAAGCTGTCATCATTTCTCACCTCAATTATTGAAAAAGCTTTCTAATGGTCTCCCTCCTTCTGCCTTACTGCACCACAGTCTATTTTCAGAACAACAACTAGAGTAATCCTTTTAAAACATAAATCAAATCACTTCACTCCTCTGTACAATACCCTCTAATGACTTCCCCTGTACCTCAGAGTAAGAGCCAAAATTCTCACTGTCACTCTTAAGGCCTCTGTATGTTTAGAACCCTATTACTTCTCCGACCTCATATCCTACCATTCTCTAACCTTTGCTTACTTTGCTCCTAATAGGTTAGCCACCAGCTGTTCCCTAAAGATATCAGACATGATTCCACCCCATGAGCTTTCCATTTGCTGCGCTGCAGCTTTAAATAATTTCCCGTTACATTCCACATGATTTACATTCTCACCTCATTCAAATAATTGCTCAAATACCTCTTTTCCACTGAGCTCCTTCCAAACTATCCATTTAAAATTGCACACCCAACACTCCCTGCACTTCTTCCAGGCTTTACATACCATCACAATGTTTATGTCCTTACAAAAAAAATGTTTATTTCACTTATGATTTTATAGTATTACTATCAGTTTCCTCCAACTAAAATGTATTTTCCAAGAGGCCAGGAATTTGAGTGTGTTTTATTCACCTGTTTGTCCATTAAAAACTCATGCTCTCCTGAAAGTTGTAGAGATGATGCTAGGAAAGAAGCCACATTTCCCAATGCCCAGTGCATCCAAGCAATGTCATTCCATGAATTCTCAACAATGGAATATAGGTGAAACTGATCTGAGTGTCTTCTGGAACCGAGTGTGTAAGGAGGAGTTACTTCTTCCTCAGTCTCTTTCTGCTCTTATCTTCCAGCTGGCTGTGGAGATCACAGTGAATTTATGGATCTTCCTCAGCCCGGATCTCTGAATGATTACATGGATCTGGGCCCCTCCAACCATCGACTCCCACAATCCAACCCTCATCCTTCTGCCTTTAATAAACACTTGATTTGGACTTTATATGAATGAGAACCAAACTTTTAATGTGTTGGACTACTGAAATATCAGATTATTTATTACAACCACCAGTATTTTCCTAAAAAATATATTACTGCCTATGTCTCCCAATTTTTGGAACACTGAAATGTTAAAAAAAAAAATAATCAAATGAAATACATGAATACATGGGAGCAAAGAAAATGTTAAATAGGTGAGTAACCTAAAACATTTGATGAATAATTAATTTGATAAATGAATGAATAAAAACATTTGATAAATGAATTAATAAATTTTATTAATAATGAATTAATAAAATAATTAGTCTACCATTGGTAAATTACTTGCTCTTAGCTTGCTTGTTTCATATTTTCTTGTGTAGTTGCAAATGCTTTCCTATAATGTAGCCCTATATTTTCTTTTAGGAAACAAGACCAAAAGAAAACTTTTTTTCCTTATGTCCATTTTTAATTTCCCTTTCATAATTACTTTGCATTGCTATTAATCACTTGTAATTGAATAATACTAAACAATGTTGCCCCTTCTTGTTTATATTTTTCAAACATTTATATATCATTATCATGAGCTCCACTTACCACTGTTGAACTAAGCTACACGCTATTAGTTTCTTGTTAGAAGAGTTCACCATCCTCTTAATCACTTTAACTCTTCTCACCTGAACTCTAATTTCTCTATATTTTCATTCTTAAAACAGATCAGGGAACAAATATAGAATAGCTCAGTCACTATTGAGAACAATGTGGACAAAATTTCACATTGCTTTGGTCTTTGAGATTCCCAGAGGTAATTACAGTCTGTGTGAGCTCCTTGGGCACAGAAATGATGGCCCATTCCTCCTGCATCTCTGGTGACCAGTGCAGTTCTTGGAATGTGGTTGGCTGTCACTGTAAGTCTTTTGGAAAGAGCAGAATTACAAGTCTGATATGACCCCATGGGCTACTGTTCCCCTTCCCTTCAGCCTAATTCAATATGCAGTCATCTGAAAGAGTACTGGTGAAGTTGATGTTAATGAAGTTCAGGTATTTTTAGGAAAGACTAAATGTGAGTTTTGGTGAGACAGGTAGATCACAACTACATGCATTTCTTTTTTTCACTGCAGTGCCCCTAAACAAACTGAATATTCATTGTGTTTAGTATTGCAATTATCTAACTTGCACATTGCTTATGAGGATAACTATTACAGTTCTGCCTGTCATACATTGCCAGAAAATGAGGAGCTGTTAGCGTACCAAAAAAAAAAAAAAATCTAATGCGGTATGTGGCTCCCAGCAATAGTCCAACATTATACATTTGCCAGTGCTGTGACCCACCTTTAGATGGAAGAAGACATTGCTAAGCCAACTCACAATGCTTTAAAGAACAATTGGTGGGGAAAGGTGTGTATTGCCATAATCTGGATGAGAAGCTTGAGCTCAGTTTGACCTTAGTTCAACAGATCTCAAGTAAAGGAAGCAGAGATAGTTGACTGATCATATTTAGTGACACTGTGGTGGAGATAATTTAGATTTAATAATGATGTCCTCTCATTATGACAAGCAAAAATAAACAGGACAGTTGATACAAACACAATTTTTGTAGTTACTTCAAAACTAGATCACTCATTTTTCATCCTTCATACACAAGGTGGTTAAAATGAACTACATCAATCTGTAACTGAAATAATTCTTTTCAAGTAAATATTGAGTCCATGTTTACTAACACTGATTTAAAAACAATGTTCATATTCAGAAAAGTCTCCACAGCCAGTTCTAGGACTATGAGCTGATCATCCATGATGATGCTGAGCCTGTGCTGGGATCCAAACTTCGGCACATTTGGGTTTCAGGTAGGAGCAGTGATGGGCAAGTAGACGTCATCCTCACGGGATCAGAGACTCTTAGTACATGAAGGTGACAGAAAAGTTGGTTAGAGTGAAGGCCCATGGAGGTCCCTAACAGAAATACCTTGCTTCAAACAATGTAAGTGGCAGAGTCAGAGCTAGTCCTCTGGTTTCCTGAGTTCCACTCCACTGCTCTTTTGACCACTCTAAGTGAAGAATGCATTTTCTGATTGAGTGGCCTCTTAAAAATTAATGTCCTTTTATCTGTAGCTTTTGAAATAGGAAGCAAAAAATCAATTACTAACTATAGTTTGCTGGTAGTAAAAGTTGTATCTGTATTAAAATACCTAAGGCTGGATGAAAATAGATAAATATCAATTTGAAGAATTCTCGATATATTGCTTTGCCCATTTTACTGCCATTAAATGGCTCCCAAATTGATCACAGCCTACAACCTCCCCACTATTTCCAGAAAACTACAGACGAGAAAATATAAATTCCCTCTAAAGTTAAAGAATGTGTCTTATATTTGACACAGCAGGATAGAAATGCTGGATACGCATGAGGACGTGGCTAAAGAAATGACCAGGGTAAAGATGAACGGTGGGTAGAGAGAAGGATATTCTGCAAGTGGAGGCATGGCTGGAGAGACAGAGAGTAGGAGGAGTCTGAGAGGAAGCAAGGGGTAGAGATGGGAGGAGGAAACGAGACATTATCAGAGTCTTGGTGGTTAAAGTGGTACCTGGTTGGCAGCCTGTGACACTGTCTGTCACCACTTTCCACCAAAATGTCTACGAAGGCATAGCAAAGAGGCAAAATTTACACTCCCAATAAAAACTAAGACTGAGAGTCTCTGTATTGCCAAATAATGTGAGTTATACCAGTCTGAGAGCAGGTAGCAAGACCTTCTATCTTTCTTTGTGCCGTTAGTCTGCAGGACACACAGACTAACAGCACAAATCCCATACCAATGAGAATCCTGAACAACTACCCATCCATCCACCAATCCATTCAGCCAGCCAGCCACCCATTCATCTATTCATCCATCCATTCCTGCATCCCAACAGCAACATTTGTTGAGAATGCACTATGTGCTGTGGTTTATAATAAAATATTACTTGGGTGCAAAAGTAATTGCAGGTTTTGCCATTGAAGGTGATGGCAAAAACCTCAATTACTTTTGCACCAATCTATAATTAAACAGAATAATTTCTGACAGTAATGTATGAAGAAAATTAAAAATGAAGGATGAGGTTGAAGTGACTTGGTGAACATTTAATACTCAGTCTAACATGTCTGAATATTCCACTCCTTGAACACAAAGTGCAGTTAAAGCATCGCTCTCCTTCAGCCCCATCACTGCTTATCCATCTTAGCATATCTGTTCAGAACTGAAGTTTCAGAGAAAACACTGGAAAGGAAGACCATATGTTGCTGGTGAGTGTGTGGGGTGGATAATAGGGGATGGTACAGAAAATGAAACATATTCTGTTCTACAATAAGTCATTCCTGCAAATTCAACACTATAGGCACAACAGGAAATAAACAATTCTTAGATTCCTAGGGGCTATGATTATTGAGATTTTTAATTTTATGGATTTTATGGGTTCATCTCAAACCAGCAGGGTCACACGAGATGAATGTCAGCTTGGTGCTTTTAAACTGAGCTCTGGGCTACTCATATCCATCTATTGCAGCTATTGATATGAGACAGAAATTTGACCAGCATCCAATTGGATGCAGAGAGTGCCCAAGGGTTCTCCATAGACCCTCTCTTTTGAAAAACATGGGGTTTGGAATGGGCTTTTCTCACTGCAATCTAAATGTACACAAAAATCTCACATAAAAATCCAAAAACTCTGGAAAGAAAAGAAAAAGCAGAAACAACATAAAGTCTTGGGGAACAGTTATCTTTGAAAATAGCTTTCAATAGGAGCTAAGAGAAAATTTTGGAAAGTTACTTGGCAGCCCCCTTATAATTGTTTTTTAAATGTAAAGAAGTAGGATTTAAGGAAGCTCTAACTGCAACAGCAGAAAAAATAACACCCATTGGAAACATTAAGAAACAGAATGTATCCAAAGCAATATATGAGGAGTGTTATATAGAAACTACTTGAGCTATCTAAAACACACAAGGTGAAAATGATGAAGGGTCCTCTTATGATTGATGTTGAATGCAGACAACAGACATCCAAATCTAAAAAATAAGGCAGCAATCTTTGCAGTGAAACAATTATCAAAGCCTTACTTGAAGAAGAGTTTCCTAACCTGAGAAAAGACCTAAGTATATCATAAAAAGCATATACTTATTCTTCCTATACCGTACGAAGAATAAATGAAAAAGCATGTCAGATGAACTTTGAATAACATTATTTTGTTATAGTGGTCTATTCAGAGATTCAACTTCTTCCTGGTTTAGTCCTGGGAGGGTGTATGTGTCGAGGAATTTATCCATTTCTTCTAGATTTTCTAGTTTATTTGTGTAGTTGTTTGTAGTATTCTCTGTTGGTAGTTTGTATTTCTGTGGGATCGCTGGTGATATCCCCTTTATCATTTTTTATTGCATCTATTTGATTCTTCTCTCTTTTTTTCTTTATTAGTCTTGCTAGCGGTCTATCAATTTTGTTGATCCTTTCAAAAAACCAGCTCCTGGATTCATTAATTTTTTGAAGGGTTTTTTGTGTCTCTATTTCCTTCAGTTCTGCTCTGATTTTAGTTATTTCTTGCCTTCTGCTAGCTTTTGAATGTGTTCGCTCTTGCTTTTCTAATTATTTTAATTGTGATGTTAGGGTGTCAGTTTTGGATCTTTCCTGCTTTCTCTTGTGGGCATTTAGTGCTATAAATTTCCCTCTACACACTGCTTTGAATGTGTCCCAGAGATTCTGGTATGTTGTGTCTTCGTTCTCGTTGGTTTCAAAGAACATCTTTATTTCTGCCTTCATTTCGTTATGTACCCAGTAGTCATTCAGGAGCAGGTTGTTCAGTTTCCACGTAGTTGTGCGGTTTTGAGTGAGTCTCTTAATCCTGAGTTCTAGTTTGATTGCACTGTGGTCTGAGAGACAGTTTGTTATAATTTCTGTTCTTTTACGTTTGCTGAGGAGAGCTTTACTTCCAACTATGTGGTCAATTTTGGAATAGGTGTGGTGTGGTGCTGAAAAAAATGTATATTCTGTTGATTTGGGGTGGAGAGTTCTGTAGATGTCTATTAGGTCCTCTTGGTGCAGAGCTGAGCTCAATTCCTGGGTATCCTTGTTAACTTTCTGTCTCGTTGATCTGTCTAATGTTGACAGTGGGGTGTTAAAGTCTCCCATTATTATTGTGTGGGAGTCTAAGTCTCTTTGTAGGTCACTCAGGACTTGCTTTATGAAACTGGGTGCTCCTGTATTGGGTGCATATATATTCAGGATAGTTAGCTCTTCTTGTTTAATTGATCCCTTTACCATTATGTAATGGCCTTCTTTGTCTCTTTTGATCTTTGTTGGTTTAAACTCTGTTTTATCAGAGATGAGGATTGCAACCCCTGCCTTTTTTTGTTTTCCATTTGCTTGGTAGATCTTCCTCCATCCTTTTATTTTGAGCCTATGTGCGTCTCTGCATGTGAGATGGGTTTCCTGAATATAGCACACTGATGGGTATTGACTCTATCCAATTTGCCAGTCTGTGTCTTTTAATTGGAGCATTTAGTCCATTTACATTTAAAGTTAATATTGTTATGTGTGAATTTGAACCTGTCATTATGATGTTAGCTGGTTGTTTTGCTCATTAGTTGATGCAGTTTCTTCCTAGTCTCGATGGTCTTTACATTTTGGCATGATTTTGCGGCAGCTGGTACTGGTTGTTCCTTTCCATGATTAGTGCTTCCTTCAGGAGCTCTTTTAGGGCAGGCCTGGTGGTGACAAAATCTCTCAACATTTGCTTGTCTGTAAAGTATTTTATTTCTCCTTCGCTTATGAAGCTTAGTTTGGCTGGATATGAAATTCTGGGTTGAAAATTCTTTCCTTTAAGAATGTTGAATATTGTCCCCCACTCTCTTCTGGCTTGTAGAGGTTCTGCCTAGAGATCCGCTGTTAGTCTGATGGGCTTCCCTTTGTGGGTAACCCGACCTTTCTCTCTGGCTGCCCTTAACATTTTCTCCTTCATTTCAACTTTGGTGAATCTGACAATCATGTGTCTTGGAGTTGCTCTTCTCGAGGAGTATCTTTGTGGCGTTCTCTGAAATTGTGGCAATAATCAATAGCTTACCAACCAAAAGGAGTCCAGGACCAGATGGATTCACAGCCGAATTCTACCAGAGGTACAAGGAGGAACTGGTAACATTCCTTCTGAAACTATTCCAATCAATAGAAAAAGAGGGAATCCTCCCTAACTCATTTTATGAGGCCAGCATCATCCTGATACCAAAGCCTGGCAGAGACACAACCAAGAAAGAGAATTTTAGACCAATATCCTTGATGAACATTGATGCAAAAATCCTCAGTAAAATACTGACAAACCGAATCCAGCAGCACATCAAAAAGCTTATCCACTATGATCAAGTGGGCTTCATCCCTGGGATGCAAGGCTGGTTCAATATACACAAATCGATAAATGTAATCCAGCATATAAACAGAACCAAAGACAAAAACCACATGATTATCTCAATAGATGCAGAAAAGGCCTTTGACAAAATTCAACAACGCTTCATGCTAAAAACTCTCAATAAATTAGGTATTGATGGGACATATCTCAAAATAATAAGAGCTATCTATGACAAACCCACAGCCAATATCATACTGAATGGGCAAAAACTGGAAGCATTCCCTTTGAAAACTGGCACAAGACAGGGATGCCCTCCCTCACCACTCCTATTCAACATAGTGTTGGAAGTTCTGGCCAGGGAAATTAGGCAGAAGAAGGAAATAAAGGGTATTCAATTAGGAAAAGAGGACGTCAAATTGTCCCTGTTTGCAGATGACATGATTGTATATATAGAAAACCCCATCGTCTCAGCCCAAAATCTCCTTAAGCTGATAAGCAACTTCAGCAAAGTCTCAGGATACAAAATCAATGTACAAAAATCACAAGCATTCTTACACACCAATAACAGACAAATAGAGAGCCAAATCATGAGTGAACTCCCATTCACAATTGCTTCAAAGAGAATATAATACCTAGGAATCCAATTTACAAGGGACATGAAGGACCTCTTCAAGGAGAACTACAAACCACTGCTCAAGGAAATAAAAGAGGATACAAAGAAATGGAAGAACATTCCATGCTCATGGGTAAGAAGAATCAATATCATGAAAATGGCCATGCTGCCCAAGGTAATTTATAGATTCAATGCCATCCCCATAAAGCTACCAATGACTTTCTTCACAGAATTGGAAAAAACTACTTTAAAGTTCATATGGAACCAAAAAAGAGCCCACATTGCCAAGTCAATCCTAAGCCAAAAGAACAAACCTGGAGGCATCACGCTACCTGACTTCAAACTATACTACAAGACTACAGTAACCAAAACAGCATGGTACTGGTACCAAAACAGAGATATAAATCAATGGAACAGAACAGAGCCCTTAGAAATAACACCGCATATCTACAACCATCTGATCTTTGACAAACCTGACAAAAACAAGAAATGGGGAAAGGATTCCCTATTTAATAAATGGTGCTGGGAAAACTGGCTAGCCATATGTAGAAAGCTGAAACTGGATCTCTTCTTTACACCTTATACAAAAATTAATTCAAGATGGAATAAAGACTTAAACATTAGACCTAAAACCATAAAAACCCTAGAAGAAAACCTAGGCATTACCATTCAGGACATAGGCATGGGCAAGGACTTCATGTCTAAAACACCAAAAGCAATGGCAACAAAAGCCATAATTGACAAATGGGATCTAATTAAACTAAAGAGCTTCTGCACAGCAAAAGAAACTACCAACAGAGTGAACAGGCAACCTACAAAATGGGAGAAAATTCTCACAACCTACTCATCTGACAAAGGGCTAATATCCAGAATCTACAAAGAACTCAAACAAATTTACAAGAAAAAAACAAACAACCCCATCAAAAAGTGGGCGAAGGATATGAACAGACACTTCTCAAAAGAAGACATTTATGCAGCCAAAAGACACATGAAAAAATGCTCATCATCACTGGCCATCAGAGAAATGCAAATCAAAACCACAGTGATATACCATCTCACACCAGTTAGAATGGTGATCATTAAAAAGTCAGGAAACAACAGGTGCTGGAGAGGATGTGGAGAAATAGGAACACTTTTACACTGTTGGTGGGACTGTAAACTAGTTCAACCATTGTGGAAGTCAGTGTGGCGATTCCTCAGGGATCTAGAACTAGAAATACCATTTGACCCAGCCATCCCATTACTGGGTATATACCCAAAGGACTATAAATCTTGCTGCTATAAAGACACATGCACACGTATGTTTATTGAGGCACTATTCACAATAGCAAAGACTTGGAACCAACCCAAATGTCCAACAATGATAGACTTGATTAAGAAAATGTGGCACATGTACACCATGGAATATTATGCAGCCATAAAAAATGATGAGTTCATATCCTTTGTAGGGACATGGATGAAATTGGAAATCATCATTCTCAGTAAACTATCGCAAGGACAAAAAACCAAACACTTCATGTTCTCACTCATAGGTGGGAGTTGAACAATGAGAACACATGGACACAGGAAGGGGAACATCACACTCTGTGGGGTGGGGAGAGCAGGGAGGGATAGCATTAGGAGATATACCTAATGCTAAATGAAGAGTTAATAGGTGCAGCACACCAGCATGGCACATGTATACATATGTAACTAACCTGCACATTGTGCACATGTACCCTAAAACTTAAAGTATAATAATAATAAAATAAAAATTAAAAAAAATTATTTCGTTATGATGTTAATGGGGGAAAAACACTGATTTCCAGCTGGGGTCGCTGTCTATGTGGTGTTGGCATGTTCTCTCCATGTCTGCATGGTTTTTCTCTGGATATTCTTGTTTTCTCTCACATCCCTTAGATGTGCATGTTAGTTTTGTTGGCATGTCTACATTGTTCCAGCCTGAGTGAGTGTGGGTATGTGGGTGAGTGTGCCCTATGATGGAAGGGTATCCTGTCCACGGTTAGGTGCTGCCTTGCCCCATGAGCTCCTGAAATAGGATCTGGCCACCTGCAACCCTGAACTACAGTGAGAGAGTTGGAAAGTGAATTAATAAATACAAATTATTGTAAAGCAAAACTTCATAAAGTATATGATAATCATACACATGCTCAACAATAAACTTATGTGGTACAGAAGCTCTCGGTTAGCTCACCATATTTGTAATTGTTAACTGTGTGGTGGTAGGAAGCGTCCCTGACAATTTTCACTTTGCAAACCTTCATTCCTGGATTAAACTCACCACCAATACAAACAATCACTGTCGCTCACTCATTCACCAAAAATGAAATAAACAATTACCTTACTTGTTTTTATTAGTCTATCTTAAATGTATATACAGATAACACTTTACTTCAATGTTTAATATTAGAAGAGCTTTGGTATTTATTTAGAAGTTTGGTGATGTTTTGTACACCAGAAATATGCAGCAGGAACTTAACTGTTGTTTATATCAATTAGCTTATGGTAAAACTGGTTTTGTTATATGTCAAAACCAATTTTGTGGTATGACTTAAAGTTGCAGTTTCCAAGATCCTATTAACTATGTTAAGTGAGGACTTACTGTATTACAAGCATTAGATCATCAAAAATATATAATATAAAGCAAAGCAACTGCCCAGAAATGGACCAGAGTGTTATACCTACCTATGTTATTCCATGTGTGGAGGTGACAGGATGATTCTCCAGTGTGCAAAAATACTCCAAATATATTCACTACCCAAACAGAAATTGATCAAAATTAAGAAGTTAAGGACTGGGATTATTTGATAAAAAGAACTACATATTCTACTCTTCTAACTTAAAATAACAGCCCTGAACACAAATATATTTATCACTAAATAATGACTTTTTGAAACAGTAGTACCACAAGAACAAGCAAAGCAAAGAGATAATTTTAGCTTTTTTTAAAAAAAAGTTTTATTCTGAGCCAACTAATATTTGATTGAGGTAAGAAATAAGACACACTTAAGTGTGGAGAAATGTAGTAGTTCATAAGCTTGAACTTGCTTATTTGTTTTCTTCCCTCTCAGGTACTATCAATATAGTGTAGATTTGTACAGGAAAACCATCACACAACACTTGAATTAAGCACTAAGAGACTCATCAACATTTTCTGCCATGCAGCTGTCCTCACTTAAAGATAATAATTCTGGGTTTAAGAAGCTCAAAGTCCTAATGTTATTTTAATGACATCATTTATTTCCCAGGGACCAGTGACACTGCTACAGATTCTCATACATTTTAAATGAGCAGGCATGAAACTGTCTACATATCTAATGACAAATATAGCAGAATAAAAATAATGCCAAAATTTCATGTCCTCTTAGGAAAAAATCTCTAATAAAATGTTTTGCGAATGTTGCCATTATGTGTCAGTTTGCATCCTACTACATAATTATTACTCAAAAGGTTTTGTCTATAATTTTATTCAAAATACGTTGACCTAGCATTCACTTTCCCTTGATATTAAAAACAGATAAAAACTAAATGACAAAAATATCACAAGAAATGTCTAGCACAGATAACTCAAACAGCCTAATAGTTGAAAAATTCTGAACACTTTTCATTTGAAAATGAGAGGTTAAGTTTCCTACACATTACTGATGCTAATGAAGTCTTAACCACAATGAACCATCCTGTGAGAAAAAGTCAAGCTTCCATTGACAATTCTAAATGTATTATGTGTTTATAACTGTAAATACTTTGTCTTCAACATGAGTCCATTAAATTTAAGAATCAGAGTAGCAAATAGTGGGGAAAAATACAGTAGCACCAACTTCAAAATATTTACAATTACTGTTTGCAGTTTTGATCATAAATTGATCAGTAATTCTAAACATAACATTTAAAAATCATAACTATCTTGAGACATTTTTGACAATTTCCATTAAATCCTATGAAAACATAGTTGAAAATCTATGTATATGCATAGGTATTTGCAAAAAATAAAGATAAATGTGAAAGCTACTTCCTAATCCTACATTTTAAATTTCAGTTCCAAATGCCATCGCCATTGGAAATAAAAGCAACAAAAACAAATAATATCCAATTTAAATTTTTCAATAAATTAAATATACTCAAATTTTTTTAAAAAAATTCTGTTCTCTATAATTTTGGTTTCGTGTTCAAAATCAGTATATTCCCTCAAACTGTCTTTGACTGAGATTATTTTGGATGGGGAAAAAGCCGGAAATCCTCTATTGCACTGTATCTCAGTGGCCACTTTATATCTCTAACTACCTAAAAGTAAACTGTACTTGGACTCAAAGAATCTGGGTTCAGGCCCTAGGCCCAATACTATGTGACTTGATCAAGTCATTTCGCCCATCTGGGGTAGTTTTGTGTTTTGTGTTTTTGTTTTTTAACTGTAAAATAAGGAGATTGGACTGAATGATCTTCAACTCTGACTTTGGTTGTTGGGAAGATTGCAATGCAATGCCATTTAATGAAATAGACAGAGAGAGAGAGAGAGAGATCAGTAGACCATTCTTCTTTCATATGGCAAAAAGGAAGAAAAGAAGGAAAGAAGGAAGGAAGGGTGAAGGGAGAGAGAAGGATAGAAGGAGGGAGAAAGACATAGATCTTT
This sequence comes from Homo sapiens, assembly GCF_000001405.40. Taxonomy (NCBI): domain Eukaryota; kingdom Metazoa; phylum Chordata; class Mammalia; order Primates; family Hominidae; genus Homo; species Homo sapiens. The sequence continues at coordinate 82,041,699 of NC_000010.11, read as the reverse complement.
GTCATACACCTCCTGGTCTACTCAGGAACACTTTGTGACTTATTAGCCCCCTACAGATATTTTGAGGAATGTTGTTCCTGACCAAAGCAAAAACAACCTCTGATTATGAGGGAAAATATGTGTTTTGGAGACTTTGTAGCTTACAAATGAGACAAAGTCTTCACAAATAGCTCCCAAAGGTGGCTTTGGGCAGTATGCAAGCAATTAGGTTTAGAGATAGATCCAGTAGAATGAGGCAGATTTACAAGTAAAGCTGACAGAAAGCCATTTGCCCCAGGAAGTAAATATAATATTGGTCACTTTCCTGTTGGGAGGGAAAATGTGCCTTCACCTCAGCTCACAGTGGGCTCTAGAACTGATGGAGAAGTAAGGTATTAAAAGAGTGAAGTTAATCCATATGCACAAGCGCAAGGGAGACTTGTAAACCTTCACTGCTCAGTATCCCTCTTGTGGCAAGAATTCCAGTAAGGGATCTGAAAGCCATAAGGACTCCTTACAAAAAAAGAAACAATGTCAATTCCCAGATTCTAACAGCCACAGAACTTAGGAAGGAGACTATTTGTAAGGCCTGTAGTCATGGTATTTTCAAATGCGAATGACATAGTTTAATTACTTATGGCCCACTATGGCAAGTAAAAAGCACTCATGGCAGAAATATGCATGGCATTTGGTCCTTCCTAAAATCAGCTGATATGCAATGTTTTACCTGTTAACTCTAAATGATACATCATAACACTGAGTTTTCTAACAAATGTGTTCACTTTGGGCATGTCTAAAGGCCATGTTTCCCTATGTTTCCACTAAGAAGGCTTTTAGAAGAACAATTGACATGCATGAACTTCAGTTTTTGTTCAAATATACCTAAAAATGCTGACATATACTGGGGCAGGGAGAGGAGAACTATAAATCTGTCATTTTCTTTTTCTGACAGCAGCAGGTTAATGTAGTGGACAGAATATGGACTTTGGGACCAGCTAAGTATGGATTGAATGCCTGGCTTGACCCTTCCTAGGGTGTGACAACAGACAAATTGTTTTATCTTCTCCATGCATCTCTGTGGGGTTCTTCTCCTGCCTTATTCTTTAGAAAGCCTGCCACTGCAGTTTCTATCCGCCAAATGTTCTGCTTTTGAGCCTGGTGGTCTTGTAGAATGCATGTGCCAGTATACAGTTTGCCAACAAGTTTGTAGAGACACATATATGGGTGCCAAGAGAGAGATTTTTCAGTTAGGCAAAGTTCAGTCCTCATGGATAAAAAAGAAAGATATTATGAAAGATTACATATTACATATATATTGTATATATAACATATATGTATATAAGTGTATATATATGTATATATGTCTGTGTTTGTGTGTGCATGTGTATACATATGGGTATATTTGTGTATACTATACATGTATACATATGCATGGATGTATATATATGTTTGAAAAATACTGAAAGTTCCTCCATTGGATTTGTACTGTTGAAAGACGGTGGTGGAATTTAGTGCTGCATGTGGAAAACATTAATTTCCAAGCTTAAGTTTCCTTCAAAATGTATTAAAACGAAATTAGAAAATGGCAGAGCAATGTATTCACCTAAAATTTTATCAACTTTTATTTCCATAGTGCAATAATGTAAAGAACAAGTGTTCTGAGGATAGACCTAGGTATGAATCCTCCTTCTTAACCCTTATTAACTTTGTGCTGTGGAGCAGTATTTAATCTACATGGGCCTGCTTAATAATATACTTCCACTATTTGTGTCTGGGTTACTTGACACAATTCATGGCAGAAGTAGATAGTGAATACTTTCTTCCCATATCCCTGAACAGGGATTGCAAAGAATGAGGAAGGATTGAAGAGGTGACCTGGGCAGTGATGCGTCAGGAGAGACCATGTGAAAAGAAGAGAGAATACTTAGACCTGAGCTGGCAGAAATGATAAACTTATTTTCCAGTCTTCCTAAAGATCACTCCTGGGATCAAGAACACCTCCCTCCATAAATTAAGGCTAATTCTAATGCAAAGATTCCTGATTTTATCTCAAGGGAGCTGATGGACATTTGGAAAAGCCCAGTGAAGCTAAGTAGCAATTAATGACGAGTTCACTGTAAGACCTTGGGTTCTCAAATGACTAAAGAGAAAATATCATGCCTTGGAAATTAATGACTGCATTCTGTTAATCATCACACTAACTTGCTACTGAAATTTTAAAATGCCACATTTCCCCAGAGCTGAAGCTATACCCTAGTGCCACTTCCATAATATTTACTACTATCCCCAATGCGGCACTGTAAATTCCACTCACAATTATTTGGCTCCCATTTGGTAAGTGAATAGTCTCTGATACTGAAATCGAATTTCATGGCTAATAGGCTCTCTGATTACTAGGAATTGTTGGTATTTAATTTAAAAAATGTTGCTCAGCCAAGACAGTCATTATTTTCTAATGGAAGTTGGATCATTTCATGACATTCTTTCCTGCTACTGCTGGGGCATTGGCAGCGCTAATCATCACTCACAAACAGGCTGCTTCGCATTGGAACTTGGTTGTAAAATATAACTAATGAGAACTTTTCCAGGAGTTTAAGCTGCATAATATCTTATCCTCTTTATATAATACACCTGTATATTTTTAGGGATTAGGCAACTTTGATGCCTGAAAAAGTATTATCAGAACACATTTCAAAACAAAATTATACAACTGTGCATTGTTTCCATAGACTTCCTTAGCACACTCCTCTGAGCTCAGTGGGGCCTAACTGCTTCATAAAACAACCTGAAAATAGAATACATGGCCTCTCTCTTCCTCACTAGGCTAGTGTTGATCAGGGAGGACAAGTGGAGTGCTCAAGAAGTCAAACATGGAAAAGAGGATGACAGAAACCAGTTTGATGAACTGGGAGAGACAGAACAGAGACACATGTGAAGTATCAAGCTGCAGGGAAGAAGCCAAGACAAAACAAATGTTCAGGTGGTAGTCCCAGAAGCAAACAGATGAATGAATGAGGCTGGGTCACTGGGATTAACTACCACTAGGCTCTGGCCAGAAGTTCCTTTTATGCAGTGCCTCCAGCTATTAATAAAGATCAAATTCACTCCATAAAAGCCATGTCTAGGCTTGGCAAATGGAGTCTTGAATGGCTCTTTGAAGAAAAAACAAAACAAAACTCATGGGTTGTGACTTCTAGTAGTCTGAAATTGAGTCCTCATCTTCTTACTTATGAGCATTGCCCCTTTTCTTGAGTTATGTAACTGCTCCAACCAGCTTCAACTGCAAAGTGGGTAAAATGGTAAAAATGACCATCTTAGGGTTGCAATGAGAAGTCAATGAGACATCTTATGATAAAGGGTTAGATACAGCCTGGTGTTTGGAAAGGGCTCAGGACAGTTGGTACTATTAACATGTGATCCCGTGTATAGACAGTAAAGGACACTACAATAGGAAAAAGTGATTTGAAGAAACCATTATGAAATAAGCTTGGTTTACATTTTTCAAAAGGAATTTTACAAATGTAAGTAATTCAGAATGCTCAGAACTCTTAATGTTGGGTGTGCTTTCAGTTTATAAAAGATTTTTAAACAATTAGTGAAAGATTAAATCTCTTGGGTATCCCATAATGAACAAAAGCAAGATTTTAAGATTTTTACTGGGTGTAGATTACTAATTTCAAAAGCATATTTGGGTTTTCCGAGATTTGAATTCTTTCTTCTTTTTTTGCTCTCTCTCTCTCTCTCCCCCCTCCCCACACTAAGATTCCTTTCCACGACTTTTGAGGCATTCATGAGCACCTTCTGTATGCCACAGAGACCCAACCCTTACGAAGTTGACTTACTTAGGAGTATTCATAAACATGGCATACACACACTATGTCCCCAGTTTGCCAAATTCTTGAACACACAGTTTTCCCCTTAGTTCTCAAAACAACCCTGGAAAGCCCGTGTGAGGCAGATGCCATGAATATTGTAATTAAAATAAGAGAAAACTGAGGTTCACCAAGTTTAAGTGCCATGTTGAAAACACACTGCAACCTGAAGTTGGAATAAGGCCTCATCGTGATGTCTTCTAGTACTGTGCTCATTCATATGAGATCCTGCCAATGCTGTTAGACCTGTTTAAAAGACCATGAGTTTATTAGAAAAAAATCGATTTTTCAAACCGTTTGAAAGCAATTTGAATAATGTGAACAAAGAAGGGAAAAGGAGAGAATTTTCTTCCTACCTTGGATCAGGGACAGGATACAGCCTCTCTTAATTTTTTGGGTGGAATGTGTCATGTGCCTACACCAGAGACAATGCAGTTGCCTTGGAATTTCTGTAGCTTGCCTTTGGCCCTAGTGCCATGGAGACCAGACTTCAAACTGCTGAGCTCCACATTCTGCCCTGATGGAGCTGGGCTTGGTGCCCAGTAAAAGTACAGAGGATCCTTGTGCCATGACTGTTTGGCCAGCCCTAGTGCCAGGGGGCTGTCTGGCAGTGCTCATAGTTCTCTGGAGTGCAGCCAGGATCTGCCAGGCAGTCTGACTCCATCCAGAAGCTTCTCAACCAGATGAAGAAGTGATGTCTGTGATCTGCTTTGGGGAGGGACTTCTCAAGTAACTGTGACTTAAAATATACCCTGCCTGACTCAGAGGGGCACTGTCATCTTGGAATTCAAAGTAAATCAACAGTCTGTCACCTAAATGGAACAGAAACTATGTTGGTGATTATAAATTATAATCAAATTCATACAGTGATTAATAAAACAGCGTGGTAGTAGTCTGATCACCTTTATGGTGAATCTGGCTATTGACATGTTATAGCAATTGCTACCCCAAGACCTGTTCGTTAAACAGTGACCTTGAACTCGGCATTAATGTGGCACCTTTCCCCCTCTATACAAAACAAAACCAACAAACAAATAAGCAGTGCCGGGACAGGAATGGGTGATCAGAATTTAGTTATAGATGTAAAGACCTATGGAGAGTTTCTATTCAATGGGTATAGAGTTTCAGTCATGCAAGTTACAAAAGTTCTAGAGAACTGCTATATAACACTGTGCTTATAGTTAATGCTGTACTATACACTTATAAAATTTCTTAAGAGTAGGTCTCATTTATGTGCTACTTACTACAACTTTAAAAAATATGAAGGATATTCTTCCATGGGAAAAAAACCATGCCTTTATTTTAGCATCATATAACATAAAGCATAAGCTTTGAATCATAAGGGCTAAGCTTAAATGCCAGTGCAACCCCTTACAACGAGGAAGTTATTTAATCTCCCCGAGCCTGGTTTCTTCATCTGTGAAATGGGGATAATAACTTGTGCCTAGCAGGGTTGTTAGGAAGATTAAATGGGATGTACTTACGAAAGCAGATAGCCTAACACTTGGCCTAGAACTAGGACTCTTTGGGTTTAATGGCCTCCCCTTCATCACTGCAGGTTGTTTTATGCTAGTATGTTTATCTAGTTTAAAGGGAGGTATAATTCTGGTCTAACAGCCTAAAATATAAGTCGACCCTTTAGGTTCAACTCAGTTCTTACCTCCTCTTAATAATTACCATCTCCTGATTCTTAAAAACCCTTGTGAGTGGGCCCAGATCTCTTCAAGCTCCATTCCTGCCCATGATCCTGGTACTGAGAATGAAAATCATAGATGAACAGCCTTGAAACAGTCCCAGACTCCATGGCAGAAATAGTAGATGCTGTAGTTGCTATTTACACATGTGAAACAGCATAAAGTCTTGGAATGCAGATTATTGCTTCACTGATATTGTAAGACCTCATGATATTGTAAGACCTCAATTTTTATGTAGAAAAATTCAGGTTGCCCAATCTATGTGTTTTGTTAGGAAGTCTACTAGTCATGACATGTGGTAATTAAAACCAAAATTGTCAATTACTTTATTCACAAAAAGTTGTTTTGTACTATGCAACTTCATCCTAAAGATATTACAAATTATTCTTAAGCAGAGTATTGAAAAAAATAATTGCACCTAACACTTTCCCACAAAAACAATCCAGAGGAAAACAAAAACATTTGTCCCCAACCCCTATGAGGCTATTTTTTATATATCCCTTAAATAGATGAGAAATATCTTTCCAGTAAGTCATAGGAAATATTTGGATAGATTCATACATGGTGAAATATTTTCAGAAAGAATAGTAATGCCACAATATTAAAGGGAATAATAATTCAAATCCTCAATTGATTTTAATAAGATGCCTAGGCTACAGTTTATCATAGCAACAGTGCTAAAAATAAGCAATGAGGATACAAATTTTCTACTTTCATTAAAGAAAACACAGTGCATGGCCAAAGATGCTCAGAAGGAATAAATACACTGTGAAGAAGAAAATAACAGCAAAAAAAATCACAGTGTATGAATTTTTGTATCTCTACCTTACAGCTTCAGACCACAGGGAGTTAAAATAAATCCATGTTTTCGTATGTTTTACTGATACCACAAGCATTGACACACATCTGTTCAATCCTCCAGCAGCATTTTGGTGATGGAGCAGGTTAATGCATTTGACCCTAGGTCAGTCCTCACTCTCTGGAATTCTGAAGCTGTATTGGATTCTGGAAGGCATGCTGGGCGAGTCTATCTGGAAGCATATGTGCAAGCTGCTCGAACTACAGGGCAGCTTGGTAAAGAAAATCAAACCCACTATATATGCGCCAACTCTATTCAGAACCATGAACAGCACGGAGTAAACTATATTCACTTTAAGTCTGTTCTTTAGAGAAAATTTCTTGGGTTTCTAGAGAACACAGGTCAAAATGAGGCAACACCTCTGAGAAAAGAAGTATAGAAAGATGGTGCCAGGGCTGCATTTTAGTCCACTGGGTGTGGGCTGCCAGACCGTAGGAGGTGCTCTGGGGTCTCTCAACAAGTCAGAGCAGAGCCTCTGCTCTCACTGAGCCCACAGTCTACTTGGCAGTGACAAGAAAAACCAATCAACAAGGCAGGAACGGGTGGGTTTTAAGCTCAACCATGAAGGATTTAAAGAAGGTGGTGACTGACAAGGAGTAAGAAACAGGGATGAACAAATGCAGATAAAACAAGGTGTACTCCAGGGAATGGCTGGGGAATGAATGCATTCCCCAGTTGCTTTCATAAGTCAGTTGCATTCATTGTCTGCCTTACCCTCACCTCAGCTCTATGAAATCAGGATTATTATTCTCATTTTAGATATAAGGAAAATGAAATAGAAAGAAATTAAGTAGCTTGCTTCAGGTCATGCATATAGAAATTGACAGAGCTCAAATTCAAATCCAAAAATCTACTTATTTAAAACTCAGGACACTCTCTACCACCCTCTACCTTTTTGCAGGATGCATCTTGCGGTTTCCAAGACACCTCCACTGTTTTGAACATACAGGTGCCAACATATATTCAAACAAGAATCATCTGAAATAAGGATTCGGAAGAAGCACAATTTTGTGTAAACATATCTGAAATTTAAGAACCTTTAAATAATGGGTCATGTATATGGTCTCTGTCTACTCATTATAGACTTAATGCTAAGTAATTTAAAAAATGTACTAACAGATTAGAGATTCAACTAATAAAGGTTTATTTCCTAACATGTACAAAGAACCTGCAAAGATTACAGGAAGGAAGTAAAGAGAAGGAACTAGCTCTTGCTTCGTTGCTTTTGCCATAATGCCAGAAATACCAGAAAAGTAAAGATTCTTTGACCACCTACTTTAAATCATTTCTAAGGTAGTTAAAGATCATTACTTGTGCTTATGCAAAACTTTCCACTTTTGCAAATATATTACTATAATGTCAAATGACCTATGATTAAAAAACATTTTCACAGGCAGTTTTGCAAGAATAAAGAATATGTATTTCACTAATATAAATTAGTTTCAAGGTATACAGAATTTTTCTGGGATCAGAGAGTAAGGTTGTAGCAAAGTCAGGTAAGCATAGAGTTTAATTTAGTAATGATATGAGCTGTGCAATGCTCAGAGTTAAAGGGACCATGCTCAAATCCCTGATGCATCCTGCATGACAAATGTTTTCCTATCACACATGCTCATGTAAATTTGACACAAGCATACATCCATCACTACTTGATTCATTCACTCATTCATTCTGTAGGCAACTTGTCAATTTTGTCTAGGTGTCTAACACTATACAAATACTATGCAAAAATAAAATAAAAAGGTATAGTTCTGGTCTTAAAGAAGAAGGACTGAGGGAAATCATAAATATGGAATTATAATGCCATGTATAGAGACCAGTGATTGTTATTTATAAGCTATTTTGAGAGGTAGAGGGAAACCTAAAAACAGACAGAAGGTACCAGGGAAGGCTTCTTATGGTACATGCTTGAGCAAAATCTTAATGGTAAATACTAGTTATCCAATAAAGAGGGAACAATGTACTGTAGGGGAAAAATGTGTTATTCAGGGAAAACTGCATTGTCTACGGTACATTATTCCAGGAAATCTCATTCCAACCTTGCATTGAGCCATTTTACAAATCTGTAAGTTGTCAATAGCCATTAGCAATGCAAAAAATAATATTCCTATAGAAATGCAACATTCTGTCTGACAGGATTTCAATTGGCTTCCTTTTTCCACCATGGCCCAGGCCAGTTTTCCTTCAATTTTCACATTTTTTTCAATATTCCTAATCTATAATTAAGTCTGTTCTTTGAATTCTCCTTTGAACTTACAACATCTTATTGGTTCCTACATTAATGAGTTAAATATTTAATATGTGTTCATTTTATATCAGCATGAGGGTCATTATTTTACTTGGTTTTAAAAATGATTCTTTAACATTTACTTTTGGAATTTACTTTAGTTACACATTCCAGAATGAAGACACTGTAAGGACAAATGAGGATCTATAAGGGGCATCATGTGCCCTGGAAACTACTTAGGCCTTGGAGAATAAAAGATGATCCCATTAATATGGTTGAGATTTTATTCTCCATTGCAAGCCAATGTAGTCTCCAAACTGTCAAAGAAAGAGACATCAAAGTTAACGCACAATGTGCTATTATCATCCTTAAAATATATTAAATAACTTTCTTATAAAATGAGAACTATAATGATATAGTTCTCATAGAATTAAAGAATTTCCAGTGTCAAATATGATTTCAATATGTTTCAATTCTGCTTAACTTATCATTATTCTGATCTGGTGTGAATATAGTCTTCAAATATTGAAGATTATGAGTCTCCATAATGAGAATTTTCTACTCTTAGGAAGAATGAAGATCTATCTGTTCCCTCCATTGCATTTAAAAAATAGCATACCAGCACAAGGCATTGTTAACTGAAGCAGCATTAGAAAAAACAACAACAACAACAACAAACCAGGAACCAAGAGAGGCCTGAGAGGGAAAAAACTTCCTTTGTACTTTTAAATACTTTTAATCTCTCTTTTCTAGTTAGAGAATCAAAGTTTTCTTCAGTATTCTTAAAATGAATGCTAAGCTAGCTTTCTTAGGGAGAATAATAACTTCTCATTGTCTTATAATAAATGAAGTTTGCAGGTCCATCAACAGAAGAGTAACATCATGACTCTTAAACAGAAGCATATAATTAACACATTTTTATCAAAACAGTGATTGGAAATAAAAAAAAAAAAAAGAATCAAACAAGATAAAAGTCAAAATACCCCATAACCAATATTTAAAAGATTTGATATCAATGCTGGGGTCATGGCTTTCTACTTCTCCTAACAAGGAACAGCAACTGCCTGACTCCTGAATGGCCCACTGCTTGGTCAGCCCACATGAAGGTGGTGTGAAGGGGTGGCTTGGAGGTGAAAAAATTATTGATGTGCTTTATGATTCTGAAAATTAAGGGCTAAAGCAAATCTTTTCTAAATGCTGCATCCATAGAAATGGCCAAAGTCTACTTGTGGGGAAGGAAGTGGCAAGGCCATATACTTAAATGATGAAATGGACTTATGGGGGCCAAGCAGGACACTATGAGAAATTAATAAGGACTAAAGATCAATGCTTAAAGAGAGCTGAAGAATTGTCAATGATCAAGAAGTGCGTTTGTTTATTGGATGCAGGAGGACTATCACTGTTATTATTAAGAATTTACTTTTGTTACATATGTGGCAGGCATTAGGCACTTTCAACCACAGGATATCATGTGGTTTTCAATTCCTTTTGTTAAAAAAAGAATTTTTTTAGAAAAATACAATAATATGTTAGCATTGCTTACTTATAAACCATGTACAGTGAAATTGATTTCTATTTCATTCGATAAGTGCAGGCACTTGGATAATCAAGTAATTTCTATCTGTATAACCTTGAAATTATTAGCAGTAACTAAGGATAAAGAGTTAGAATATTATAATTAAAGGTTGAAAGAGGCATAGCTAACTTGTAAAGTATTAACCCTGACAGATGCTTTCTAGAGAGTATCCACTTTACAACACTCATTCAGATATTTAATTAAAATCCCTGGTCCACCTAACACAGGTTCGTGGGAATAACAGTGCTTCATTATCCAATGTGACTTAGCACTAATAGATGTGTGCACTCAGTTGAAACAACCATACCTAAAATAATGTGACATTAAAGAGCACCGATGAAACTTTATATATAAATGGGACGGGTCTTCTATGACAGGTACTGTAAAATGTTTTACGGATAATGAATGTGGCTGGGAAAATGCTTTCTTCACATATGTGAAGATCCATGTGTTTCAGGTTATTTAAAAGTTATTTAATACTTGAATATCTAGATAATAACTTTGATTTTATAATCAGGTATTTTGGGAGGTTTTCTAAATTCCAATAATTATTTCTACCTTTACCTAAAATGCAACCTATCTCTAATCAGGTAATCTCCTTGCTTCAATTCCTTCAAGAACTCCCCATTCCTAGTGAATTGAGCTCATTACTCTGAACGTTGTTTTAAACCTTCTTGGTTCTTGCACAACCTATTTTTTGCAAACTTGTCCTTCATTTATTTCTTTTATATTCATTTTCTCCTTCCTGCCCTCATTCCCCCAACTTGACAGTGGAGGTCCCTTTTTTTTTTTTCCAAATTAGACATTTCTGTTGGGAAGTGCATAATTCCAAAAAGGAAAACGAAATGGAAAATCAAGTCTTGATCATATCCTCCATTAAAGTGCTGAGTAGCTCTCTCACTCCGTAGAGTGAGTTTTGGTATGAATCACGTTTTCTCCCTGAGGTACATCTGACTTTCTATTTAGTCTCCTTCACTTATTAGACTTCCATCTACATGTCTTATGTGTAACTACTGCATAAGCCAGGCGCACTAACTCCCTCACTTGAAGATAAACATAAAATCAAGTTACATAACTGACCCAGAGGTTTGTATAGAGAGTTGTGTTACGTCTGTTTCCTGAATTCTCTCCTTACTTCCACCATTCATTGAATTGGATCATGGTTATTAACATTATCACCACTTCACCCACTGTGATGTTTCCTCATTAAGGAGACAAGCAAAGATCTGGTGGAGCTCAACAGCCTTATTCATATCTCATTAAGTAAGAATCTCTCCTGATATTTCTCTATGGGACATTTTTGGCTGCCCTCCCAAAGGTGTCATTGTTTATGGAGAATGATCAGCCTCAAGCCAAAGACTTGAGTAGAAAGCTGCTCTGATCCTCTTCTAATCACAAAAATCACCCATGCCAAGAGCGAGCAATTAATGTAACTGTAAATCCTGTCAGAGTTCCCCTTACGATTTCAACTCGTATTTGTGACTGCGGGCTGTTTTGTCAAAGGGGACATTTGTTAGACAGGTTGTTTGCCAACATGAGGGAGGCTTTCTTATACTTTAGGTGATTCTATTATTCCCTAAGGCCAATTATAATTCCTCTTGAGATGGTAAAAGTTCCCTTTAGATAATCAAGTAAGCCATTCAAAATGCCAAAATGTCCCAAACTCCTAATTAGCTCATTAGAGGTAAACATTAATTAATCATTCTGGTGAGTTTAGGTAAAGGTTACCATCTTCACTGCAGGGCTCCTGGGAACCCTCAATGTAAGAAAGCATTAACCCACAAATCAGAACATTCTCAATGAAGTCCATCAAAAATATAAATCAATAGAAACTGTTTTTAACTCCCAACTAGTGTGCTGGAAGACGAACTTGTTTAATTGTATTTGTGTAAAATGTTGTAGTAGTGACACATAATGAAATCGTTCAAGCTGGTCACCCTTGGAGACGCCAGCAGATAATACAGCAAGGCAGGTGAGATCCCAGGAAGATGTTGGGTTGACAGCTTTGAATCAGCACATCTTTCAACTATCATATTGCAAGATAACCACAACCATTAATATAACAGGTATCACTTATTAATCCCTTACTACATGCCAAACACTTTATATATGTATACATGATTTAATTTAATCCCATTCACTTTGGGAAACTGGCATATTTATGTCTATTTTTACAAAGGAAGGAATACTTCTTCAGAGAAAAGTTAACTAAATTTCTCCACAGCACACAGCCAATGGTGGTAACGATGGGTATCAGAGTTTATTTGATTCTTTTTTTTATTTTGAGATGCAGTCTCTCTCTGTTGCCCAGGCTGGAATGCAGTGATGCGATCTCTGATCACTGCAACCTCCACCTCCCAGGTTAAAGCAATTCTCCTGCCTCAGCCTCCCGAGCAGCTGGGATTACAAGCGCCCACGACCATGCCTGGCTAATTTTTCTATTTTTAGTAAAAACGGGGTTTTACCATGTTGGCCAGTCTGGTCTCAAACTCCTGACCTCAGGTGATCCATCTGCCTCAGCCTCCCAAAGTGCTAGGATTACAGGTGTGAGCCACCGCACCTGGACACATAGTTTTTTGATTCTGATGACTTTTCAACATCGCACCAAACCGTGCTGATTCTCAGCAGTTATGAAAGTATTTGTGAGTGAGCTCCACATAAATCCTTACGGGGTGAGCATATTTCTTAGTTATTTTGTGCTTTATGTAAGTATAGCCAAGGTTCATACAATACATCCAGGAACTGAGGCATCCTTTTCCTTCCATCAGGGAAGCCAAAAACAGAAGCAGATTTCTATAACAATAAGCACCCCAGAGTGAGGGTTTGTATAAGTAAAGATGTGTGCTGATCTGAGGGCAGAATGTTGCTTTGCACTGTGGAACTGCCAGGTCAGAGAAGCCCAAAGCGTTTCTATCATTCAATTTGGCCAAAGTGAAAAACAGGAATATTTTTCACATCCATTCAACAAGCAACTACTAAGTACCTCATATGTGAGGATCATCCTGGCTCAACAGGATGGCAATTTTAGGTATTAAGAAGTGTCGCAATAAGAACTTTAAGTTTATATATTTTTCTTCCCCAATGAGAGTGAGACTATTGAAGAGCAGAAGGCAACAAACGAGGCAACAAAGTATATAAGTTAGGAATGCATTTGAACTCAAGTAGCAGAAATTTTGACTTCTAATGGGGGTTTTTGTTTTGTTTTGTTTTGTTTTTTCCTCCTATGACCAGAAGTCTGGAAGCAGGCAGAAATTCAGTGTTTCCTAGGCATGGTGTCATCTCTTGTTCATGTTTACAAGATAATCATTGCAGTTCCAGACATTGCATCCATGTTTAAGGCCAGTAGAAAAAAGCAGGAAGAGGTAGTACTTCAGAATTTCACTTACTACTCTTCTTACTTACTTCCTACTATTCTACTTACTACTACTCATATGAGAATCCCCACTCTAATGGAAGTTGAGAAAAATATTCCCAGCAGTTAATAATACAACCCAGCCAAAAAGAGTGCAGTGGGCAGTGAGTAGTGGATGGGACAAAAGAGTCAAGTCTGCATTGCTTGCACAACCCGGATCTGAGTAAAGTCTGTGACTAACTTGTTTCCTGACTATTCTGCTCTCCACCTCCTGTCTTTGTCTCTTCTCTGGGAGTTTACCTTCAGTCCCTCAATGTGTGGGTACAGTTATTTGGTTGGAGCCTCTATCAGTTTGCCTCTTTTCAGAATCCCACACTGAAGAGAGACTGCAATCCCCTCACCTACCCATGGGCTCCAAAGCAGTGTGTCATTGACATCAGCTCAGGTTCAACCTGATGGCAAGACCTGATGCCAAGTATGCAGTTAATTTTGAGTTTTGAATTGAGAAACACTCAAGAAAATGAGCAAGGGCACACCAATATCCAAGCAGCATTTAAATGTGCTTTGTAGCTAATAGTTTCCTCATATTATGCTTTAATGCACAGGAAGAAAATTATCTGATTTGACAGAACCATCGTTTCTAAATTTTTGAAGACGAGTTCAGTTAATAAGCCTTAAATTCATTCTTTCAAACATAGTTAAAAATTATTTCCCTGGAGAAGAAAAAAACTCAGAATAACATAAGGGTCTAAAGTAGGCCATGTAAACAGTTCCCCCTACAGTTTTCAAGACAAGGATGGCTTCACTTACCACCAAAAGGCTGGGGAAATTAAAGCCCATAATTTGAATAGAAGAACACTGACATTTACCTTTCTGTAATATTCCCTTTACTTATACTTTGCTTAGTTTTCTAAAGCATATTCCTATGTAAAATGTGTATAAGGAGACAGTATTTTGGTTATTTCAATTATTGCATGATTTACAAATTTTCCAAAGACTATTCTACTGAATAAACCCAAAGGATGCCCAGAAAATAAAGGATGCCTAGAAAATTGATTTGACAAAAAGTTTCATGTTGTTCACTTATTCTTGTGAAAACTACCTTATTTAAAATCATTAGCTGCCCCCATGAATTAACAGAAATAATAGCATTAAACAGGTGATTGATAATTAGATTAGAGCATTATTATCATTAAGGCAAGCAAACATATATAAAAATGAAAAGCCAAGAAATAATACAAGATGACTTTCACCTTTCTGCTTGGGAACAACAGCTTTTTTTGCCTAGGAAGAGGCAAAAATCTATTCTAGTTTTCTGTAATAAACCTTAAAGTTATTATGAAAATGATGACAGTATTCACTGAACTTGCAAAAACTCTTCTTAATCACAGGCCTTGCTCTTTTTCAGAAATAAGAAGGTTTCCAAAAACCTTCAGACAAACAAACAAACAAACAGACAAACAGACAGACAAAATTCAAACACACCCACACAAAAATCCACACAAAAAAATTTACCAAATAATGAAATCAGAAATTATAGGTAATATATAAATTGGAGCATAAAAATACATTACCAAAATAGTCAATACTAACAGCCAATATTATTGCTGTGATTAAGAATCAAATTTGGCTCTGAGTTTCCAAGCAGACAAGCAATTCCCGAAACATCATCAGTAACACGTATCAGAAGCAAGATAAACCTGAAGAGCACTTTAGCTTTTTCTAGCACTCCATCTTTTATAATGCATCCTTTGTGTATTGGAATGTCAGTGTTATACAAAACAGTGTCCATAACAATATTTTCACAACCAATTTATTAAAATATTTTATATTTTATATGGCCCTTTCTTATAATGGTTCTGTAATGACAGCTCAAGGCAGGTGATTTTGCAAGGGGATACACCAGTGTACACGTAACTAACCTGTGGTATCCCAATTGACTCAGAATCCTTGTTTACAGCAGAGATCTTAAAGCTAGTATTGTTATGGGGTCTTTTCATTTGCTTTGGAAAGGAAAAACTAGAAAAAATTGCTCTAAAAGACTCCAATATAAGGACCAAATGGGAGTTAAATTATCTTCTTCCTCTTATAAGGGCTTGATTATTTTCTGGAACCCACATGCCAAGATGAGGACTACAGTGATTTCCCCCTGTTGTATATGCTTGTTTGCTCAGGTGACATGTGGATGGAGCAGGGGCAGGGCTGTCTATGACTGAACAGGATTGGAAGTCAGAGCAAAGAGGAAAGTTTTCAAGGGTGCTATATAATCTCACCAGCTCAGCTATCAAAACAAAACAAAACAAAAAACTATCCAAAATAAGTAAGTAAATAGACGATATAAACCCAAAACAAGCTATTTACAAAGAAGAATTAGAAGTTGCCAATATGCTCATTAAATAATTTTGGATTCTCTTAGTAACCTAAGAAATATAAATTCCAACAAAAATAAAGTATGTTTTCTCACTCGTCAACCAAAACAAAACTTAAAATCTTAATTTTAGTATTGGTAAGGTTGCAGGGAACAGGCAGTCCCTGCTAAGGGAAACACAAATGGAAAATACAAACTTCCTGGAAGGAAAGTTTATTATAAATATGAAAAAATCTTAAAATATTTATGTCCTTTGACCAGCATTTCTCTATTAAGAAATGATCCTAAACTAATTATCTCAGGCATATGCACATGTAAACATACTATTATTTATAAGAAAAAATATTATAAATTACTCATGTTCCAAAGTAGAACACATGTTAAAACTTTTTTAAAAAACTAAAACATATACACTACAATCTATATTATATTCAAATATACGTACATGGAAAAAAGTCAGATATGGCTAGAGTATTTCTTATATATATTTCTTATATTTCTTTATATCAAAGTGTAAGATATAAAATATTAATAAGATATTTAATATTATAAGAAATATATGAAGTATTCCACATTTTTTACCTGTGAATTTAAGTTAGAAATAGATTTTTCAATATTAATTTAAAAAATAAGAAACAATTTCTTCTTAATTATTTGAAATGACATAAAAACTACAGTTTACTTTCAGAACACTCTAAATTTTTTCAAAGAGTGCTGGAAACTTTCTTGCAAAACATATTTATCAGATCCTTATAAATCACAACATGTTCAACTGATTCACTTAGCACTGAACAGATTGAAGGATGCTGTGCTCCAGCCTCAGGCTGATCAAGGAAGCTCCAAATTACAGTAATTACAAATTTAACCTCTCAAATAAATTATGATGTGGAATGAGGAAGACGGTTTTGTCTAAAAGGCTTTGAGAAGATACTGGGAGGGCTACAAGTATGATTCAATCGTATACTCCTGAACACAGTTGAATCACTGAATTTAATGTAGGAAGGGGGTTAGAAATGATCTACTTCTCAATCTTTTCCGCATTTTTTCAGTGAGTGCACTCCATTCCAGACACGTAGAGTGAATGGCTACCTGAGGAGACCAAGTCCTAGCTGGGACTGAATCAGTCCCTGGATCTCAGTCTAGTGCTCATTCTACACACCTTGAATTCAGCTTTATTATCTCGGTTAACCCACTTATACATAAGTTTTGTGACAACAGTTCCATAAGCACTATCTTAGGCAGCACTGTTTAACAGAAATATAATGAAAACCACATGTAAACTTTTAAATTTTCTGGTAGCCATGTGAAATAAAGGAAAAAGAAACAGGTGAAATTAATATTAATTATTAATAAGATATTTTCTTTAACCCACTGTATAAAGGTTTTCCAAAATTAGTAGAAGAAAAGAAATAATAAAGATCAGAGCAGAAAAAATGAAATTAAGGATACAAAAATAACAAAAGATCAACAAATACAACTTGTTATTTTGCAAAGATGAACAAAATCAACAAACCCTTAGCTACACGAATTAAGAAAACAAGACTCAATTCAATGAAACCAGAGGAAAAGGGGAGATACTAAAACTGATACCACAGAAATTCAGAGACTCACTAGAGGATATTCTGAACAACCATAAGCCAACAAATTGAAAAACCTAAAAAAATGTGGATAAATTCCTGCACACATACAACCTACCAAGATTGAACAATGAAGAAATAGAAAACCTCAACAAGCCAATAATAAGTAATGAGAGTGAAGCTACAATTAAAAGTCTCACATCAAAGAAAAGCCCAAGACCTGATAGATTCACTGCTGAATTCCACAAAACATTTAAAGAAGAAGCAATAACAATTCTACTTAAACTATTCCAAAAAGTTGAAGAGAAGGGGAACTTTCAAACTCATTCTATGGGCCCATCATTACCCTGATACCAAAACCAGACACAGACACAACAAAAGAAGGAAACTACAAGCCAATACTCCTGATGGACATGGATGCAAAAATCCTCAACAAAATTCCATCATGCAAGTTCAATAACACGTTAAAAAAATTGACTTGCCATAATCAAATGGGATTTATCCTAGGGATACAAGGATGGTTCAACCTAAGTAAATTAATAAACATGATACATGACATTAACAGAATCAAGAACAAAAGCCATATGATCATAGCTGCTGAAAAAGCATTCCATTACATTCAACATCCATTTATGATGAAAACTCTCAACAAATTGTGTACAGAAGAAACATATCTCAAAATAATAAAGACCACTTATAAAAATCCCATAGTTAACATCTTACTGAATAGGGAAAAATTGCAAGCCTTTCCTATAAGATCTGGAACAAGACAAGGATACCTGCCATCACCACTTTTATTCAACATAGCACCAGAAGTTCCAGCCAGCACAATTGGGCAAGGGAAAGAAATAAAGGACACCCAAATTGTGAAAAAAGAAATGAAATTATCCTTGTTCACACATGATATTATATTTAGACAAACTTAAAGACTCCACCAAAAAAACTAGCAGAACTGATAAATGAATTCAGTAAAATGGCAGGATGCAAAATCAACATGCAAAAATCAGTATCAGGTCAATACACCAACAGCAGAGAATCTCTAAAAGAAATCAAGAGAGCAATCACATTTATAAGGGATAACAAAAAAAAAACTTATGAATAAATTTAACCTATATTTTGAAATAGCTGGAAGAGAACATAAGGAATGTTCCCAACCCAAAGAAAGAATAAATATCTGAGGTGATGAATATCCTAATTACCCTAATTTGATCATTACACATTGTATCTTTCAAAATATCACATGTACCCCATAAATATATATATAATTTTTATATATAATAAATCAAAATTGATTAGTTAAATATATGTATAGTTAAATAGATATATGTATAAAGTTCTCAGCATTTCAACCTGTATTCACTATAAAAATAAAAATAAAATTTTACATTTTTTTCCATACCAGGTCTTTGAAACTCAGTGTGTTTTTTCCACTTACAGCATGTTGCAAATGGGACTAGTAAATTTCAAGTGCTCATTGACCACAGTGGTTGATAGCTTCCGATTTGACAATGCAGATCTAAGGCATAGTTGATTTTATGACTTTCTTCCCCAAAAGGCCAGGGCAAGTAATAATTTAGGTCAGTATCTAAAGACAGAAACCATCATAAAGAAATCCTGTAGAGAAGTACACCAATAATGAAGAAACACCACAAATACTAAGCTATAGCATGGAGTAGGCAAAGCCTTTCTTGCTTTGGCCAATAGTAAATATCAAACTATTCTCTTAACATGAAATAATGCAGACTTTTTGGATGAGCAGAGAGAAGAGTACAGATATCACAACCGGGAGGTACTGAAAGCAGAGCCATGATAATAAAGGCATGTGACTGACAGGGTTTGTCATTCTCCCAGTGGTGGATTTGCTTACTTAAAACCTAAAAGTCTTCCCTCAATTAGGATTCTCAGGTGCCTTCTGCCAGAGTAAGCTATTCCTGCCTACTCAATTTAGTGATAGTTTCATTCTGCTTCATTTGTAATGAGTTGCCTACCTACAGTCTCTCCAAATTATAATCACCGTGGCCTGACGACCTGAAGCACATTTTGCTTATCTAAATTCCTTATCATTGGAAAGTAGTGCATTACACCACACATAGTATGTGCTCAATAAAATTTTAACAGATGTGTAAATGAATCAGTGATGCCCATTCAGAATTTGATGCTGCCTTTCAGAAAATACTGTAAAGATTAAAAGTGAGCAGAAAAAAAAAAGCATCCAATGTAAATCATCCAAATTTCTAAGTGTATACAAAAGACTGGAATTTAGGAAAAAACACAGCAACAGATGTTGAATCACAGGGCCATGCTGACAATATTATTTAAAATTATTCCTTCAAATCAGGAAGACTTAACCCTAAATCAAGACACACACACACACACACACACACACACACACACACACACACACACACATACTACATGCCCAAAAGCTTATTAGAGTTTCAGTAAACAACGCCATCAGGCTGATATAAAATTATCTTCCTGTTGTCTTGCTTCAATTCAATAACAAATTATTGCTTCAATGCTTGGCAATCAGAGAAGCAAAATTCTTGAGGATCCCACAAGTGAATTTGAGACTCTCTATTCTTCCAGAGCAAAGTTATATTTGAAGTGAGACACAGTTCTAACAAACTGAGACTACTGAGGTGCATTTTGATTGCTGTTCTGGTAACCCAATGCCATAATCCACAAAGCCAATTCCTGTTAAACATTTTGTCTAACTTCTGTTAATTGCTAAGATGGTAACCAGCTCTCTACTTGATTTCCCCAGGAAAAATTAACTTGTTTCCAGGGTATGTGTAAAAATCCCACTTTTTGTTTTCTTGCCCTCTGGTATGTTGTCTGAAAACTAACTTAATTCAAAGTCCAGCAGTGTAGGAGTATGTGATAAAAAGTACCTAAAAATCAATAGAGTTCCCACGCCCCTCAGTCCCAGGCAGCCTTGCTTACCATGCTGTAAGAGCTCATCAACACCGTCGTTGCACTTGCTGCACTCCTAAATCGATTGGAAATGCCCTGACCCAAAGGTCAGGTGGCAGTGTGTAAATATAAGGGATATCTCACCATGGAGATCACAGCTCCACACTGCAGGAAGCCAAGAAGGCCATTTCAAAGGCATTGGTCTGTGTCCTAAATATAGGACTCACAATATTCTTAGGAACCACACACATCTCCACTTCCACCAGATGATTAAAGAAATTCCACCGGAATTTCTTCAGGAGCCTTGCCATATTCCTTTCCAACAGTGATTTGGGAACACTGCCTTCAGAAAACACCTTTGGAACTAGCAGGATTGGATGTCTCTGCACTTAAAGCCAAAAGAAATTAAAGTCGATCCAGCTATATTACAAAATTATTAATTGCTGCAACCGGATTGGAAGTGACATTTATAATAAGTAAACTGAGGAATGTATTAGAACTCAGGAAAATTGACCATTCTTTGGAGATAAAGATGGCAAGACAATTAGCAATGAGGGGTTGAATGGCACTGCACAGTACATTAAGATCCAAATTGTAACTTGATTCTTGGGAACTTGAGCAAGTCAGCTAACTTCTTTGAGGCTCAGCTTTGAAAACCATGATTCTTAACCAGTTTAGGATTATGAAAGTCTTTGAAATCTGGTAAAAGTCTCTTCTTAGAACTATTTTACGTAAATTTTATTGAGATCGTGTATACCTCACTATCCCCAAATACTACTCAGGGCCCAAGTTAAGACTTTCTATTCTAGATACTTATAACTCCCCTATTCTATCCCTAGAATGTATCCTCTGTGAGAGTGAGGTGTTTCCGGAACCTAGGACAGTTCCTTATACCTAGTGTTTGCTTAAGGGACATTTGTAGAACCCTCATAAAGGAAAGAATAGTGAGACTCTTCAAGGAATTAAACAAGGCAGTTTATGGAAAGGAGAAGTGAAAATTACAAAATATTCTACAAATATGTGATTTCTTTTCTTAAAGTAAATTGCAAGCCACATCTTTGGCTCTGTTCTGATTGACACAGTAAGATAAAATCACAATTTACAATTTATAACTTTTTCCTATAAACCTGGCATTTTCTAAAATGACACATTTGTGCTATAATTCAAATTTTTTACTTTGAAAGCCTTTAGAAATTTATAGCAGTAAATGCCCACAAGAGAAAACAGGAAAGATCTAAAACTGACACCCTAACATCACAATTAAAAGAACTAGAGAAGCAAGAGCAAACACATTCAAAAGCTAGCAGATGGCAAGAAATTACTAAGATCAGAGCAGAACTAAAGGAAATGGAGACACAAAAAACCCTTCAAAAAATCAATGAATCAAGGAGCTGGTTTTTTGAAAAGATCAACAAAATTGATAGACCGCTAGCAAGACTAATAAAGAAAAAAAGAGAGAAGAATCAAATAGACACAATAAAAAATGATAAAGGAGATATCACCACCGATCCCACAGAAATACAAACTACCATCAGAGAATACTATAAACACCTCTACGCAAATAAACTAGAAAATCTAGAAGAAATGGATAAATTCCTCGACACATACACCCTCCCAAGACTAAACCAGGAAGAAGCTGAATCTCTTAATAAACCAATAACAGGCCCTGAAATTGAGGCAATAATTAATAGCTTACCAACCAAAAAAATTCCAGGACCAGATGGATTCACAGCCGAATTCTACCAGAGGTACAAGGAGGAGCTGGTACCATTCCTTCTGAAACTATTCCAATCAATAGAAAAAGAGGGAATCCTCCCTAACTCATTTTATGAGGCCAGCATCATCCTGATACCAAAGCCTGGCAGAGACACAACAAACAAAACAGAATTTTAGATCATAATCCCAGATGAACATTGATGCAAAAATCCTCAATAAAATACTGGCAAACTGAATCCAGCAGCACATCAAAAAGCTTATCCACCATGATCAAGTGGGCTTCATCCCTGGGATGCAAGGCTGGTTCAACATACACAAATTAATAAACGTAATCCAGTATATAAACAGAACCAAAGACAAAAACCACATGATTATCTCAATAGATGCAGAAAAGGCCTCTGACAAAATTCAACAGCCCTTCATGCTAAAAACTCTCAATAAATTAGGTATTGATGGGACATATCTCAAAATAATAAGAGCTATTTATGACAAACCCACAGCCAATATCATCCTCAATGGGCAAAAACTGGAAGCATTCCCTTTGAAAACTGGCACAAGACAGGGATGCCTTCTCTCACCACTCCTATTCAATATAGTGTTGGAAGTTCTGGCCAGGGCAATAAGACAGGAGAAAGAAAAAAAGTGTATTCGATTAGGAAAAGAGGAAGTCAAATTGTCCCTGTTTGCAGATGACATGATTGTATATCTAGAAAACCCCATCGTCTCAGCCCAAAATCTCCTTAAGCTGATAAGCAACTTCAGCAAAGTCTCAGGATACAAAATCAATGTGCAAAAATCACAAGCATTCTTATACACCAATAACAGACAAATAGAGAGCCAAATCATGAGTGAACTCCCATTCACAATTGCTTCAAAGAGAATACAATACCTAGGGATCCAACTTACAAGGGATGTGAAGGACCTCTTCAAGGAGAACTACAAACCACTGCTCAACGAAATAAAAGAGGATACAAACAAATGGAAGAACATTCCATGCTCATGGATAGGAAGAATCAATATCATGAAAATGGCCATGCTGCCCAAGGTAATTTATAGATTCGATGCCATCCCCATCAAGCTACCAATGACTTTCTTCACAGAATTGGAAAAAACTACTTTAAAGTTCATATGGAACCAAAAAAGAGCACGCATCGCCAAGTCAATCCTAAGCCAAAAGAACAAAGCTGGAGGCATCACACTACCTGACTTCAAACTATACTACAAGGCTATAGTAACCAAAACAGCATGGTACTGGTACCAAAAGAGAGATGTAGACCAATGGAACAGAATAGAGCCCTCAGAAACAATACCACACATCTGCAACCATCTGATCTTTGACAAACCTGACAAAAACAAGCAATGGGGAAAGGATTCCCTATTTAATAAATGGTGCTGGGAAATCTGGCTAGCCATAGGTAGAAAGCGGAAACTGGATCCCTTCCTTACACCTTACACAAAAATTAATTCAAGATGGATTAAAGACTTCAACATTAGACCTAAAACCATAAAAACCCTAGAAGAAAGCCTAGGCAATTCAAGACATAAGCATGGGCAAGAAATTCACGTCTAAAACACCAAAAGCTATGGCAAAAAAAGCCACAATTGACAAATGGGATCTAATTAAACTAAAGAGCTTCTGCACAGCAAAAGAAACTGCCATCAGAGTGAACAGGCAACCTACAGAATGGGAGAAAATTTTTGCAATCTACTCATCTGACAAAGGGCTAATATCCAGAATCTACAAAGAACTCAAACAAATTTACAAGAAAAAAACAAACAACCCCATCAACAAGTGGGCGAAGGATATGAACAGACACTTCTCAAAAGAAGACATTTATGCAGCCAACAGACACATGAAAAGATGCTCATCATCACTGGCCATCAGAGAAATGCAAATCAAAACCACAATGAGATACCATCTCACACCAGTTAGAATGGCGATCATTAAAAAGTCAGGAAACAACAGGTGCTGGAGAGGATGTGGAGAAATAGGAACACTTTTACACTGTTGGTGGGACTGTAAACTAGTTCAACCATTGTGGAAGTCAGTGTGGTGATTCCTCAGGGATCTAGAACTAGAAATACTATTTGACCCAGCCATCCCATTACTGGGTATATACCCAAAGGACTATAAATCATGCTGCTATAAAGACACATGCACACGTATGTTTATTGCGGCACTACTCAAAATAGCAACGACTTGGAACCAACCCAAATGTCCAACAATGATAGACTGGATGGATTAAGAAAATGTGGCACATATACACCATGGAATACTATGCCACCATTAAAAAGGATGAGTTCATGTCCTTTGTAGGGACATGGATGAAGCTGGAAACCGTCATTCTCAGCAAACTATCCCAAGGACAAAAAACCGAACACCACGTGTTCTCACTCACAGGTGGGAATTGAACAATGAGAACACTTGGACACAGGAAGGGGAACATCACACACCGGGGCCTGTTGTGGGGTGGGGAGAGGGGAGAGGGATAGCATTAGGAGATATACCTAATGTAAATTACGAGTTAATGGATGCAGCACACCAACATGGCACATGTATACACATGTAACAAACGTGCACGTTGTGCACATGTACCCTAGAACTTAAAGTATAAAAAATAAAAATAAATCAATAAATTATTGAGAATTAAATTCCCTTACATGCTCAAAGAAATCCTGCTTTTCATTTTGCATTTCCTGCTTGATTCTAAGGATGTCACTATTGTTTTATTGGTCAAATGTGGACATATAATTCACTTGCTATTAAATTCCCACATTCAGTAAACAATTCAATGGCTTGCAGTTCCCAAAAGTCTTCCACCTGAATTCCCAACCATTTATCTTCCATGTCTTTGCCTAGTCGCAGACCTCATTACTTTTCACTTAAAACATAACAATATTTTTTCAGTTTCTCTCCCTGTAATTTTTCATTTGCATCATCTCTGATCATCTTGCTGAAACATAAATTTGATCATGTGACTTTTGCACTTAACGATCAAGACACCTGTCCTAAGCCTATTTTATGGCAAATAAATGTGAAATATAACAAATGATGCCCTTCCTCATTGAGCCTTAGCTCATGCCTCTCTCGTCTTGTACTCCACACTCTTTCCATAGTTAACATCTCGCATGCTTACTGCCTGCCATTTTCTTTGTACCTTCATGCTTCTGGTGGCAGAGAGGGTTCTGTTTGCAACCTCCTTGGACTCTCATCTTTCAAGTAGACTCTTACTCATCCATCTAGACTCAAATGTCACTTTCCTGCCCACTTCTCCAATCGGCTAACCACTCAGCTAACCATACAGTAAAAGCACATTCTATGGGCTTCCATTAAAAATACACTTGATTATAACACTTCTACTGCATTAATATGATTTATATGTCTTTTTCACACTGGTCCCTAAGCTTCCTCAGTTCACTGCCCACATATTTTATACACTGAGTCAATGACCAAGCAAAATTAATATATTAACACTGCTGACAGTAACAATAGCTCTGAATAAGAAGGTTCCTTTGCAGTTGCTAACTACCTCATATTTTTATTAAAGGTATCTAGTTTGCCTGCATCAAATCCACAGATGACTGTCTCTATAGGGAACATCAATGAAAATGATGATAATGTTAATAGATTGCTTACATGTGCCTGGCTTCATGTTCATCATTTTACATGTGCTATTTTTAATACACTATAACTTCTATGATGTAGGTATTATTAACCCATTTCACAGATAAGAAAACTAAGGTTTAGAGAAATTAAATTATGCCATACAGTCATATGGCTATTTACTAGCCTTATAACTAGTAAATAGTGAAGACAGATGTATTAGCCCATTTTCATACTGCTATAAAGAACTGCCCGAGATGCGGTAATTTATAAAGGAAAGAGGTTTAATTGACTCACATGTCAATTAAGTCACCTTCTTCCAAGGTGGCAGAAAGGAGAAGTGCCGAGCAAAAAGGAAAGAGCCCCTTATAAAACCATCAGATCTCATGAGAATTCACCATATGTCACAAGAACAGCATGGGGGAAACCACCCCCATGATTCAACCACCTCCACTTGATCTCTCCCTTCACACGTTGGGATTATAGGGATTATGGGGATTACAATTCAGGATGAGATTTGGGTGGGGACACAAAGCCCAATCATATTGATGAGATTTGTTCCCAACTTTGATTGCAAACAGTATTATTCTCAAATTCTATTTTGAAGTATGAATGATCAGTTCACTAAGATCCTTTGTGGGAAAATCTAGAAAAGTATCTTCAAATACATTACATGTTCCAAAGGTTTGCTTTCAAAATCTGGTGAAGGTTCATCTGCTCATACATTAATCAATTATCATACTTTCTTTTTTAGAGAACCCAAGTAAGAATTTTTACATTTGCGCTTCTCACATTTTAAGTCAATGCTAACTACAACATTGTTGTCCCTACCTCGAAGTGAGTTTCTTAAACTATATGATGATTTCAATGCAGACTCTACAAAAGAAAAACTTCTGATGTGGTCTTGAGAAATATACTTGATTAAAGCATACAAATTCCTACATTTCCCGCTTATGGAGTGGAGACTCCCAGAAAGCTTACTGCAGAATCCAGCATTTCTTCATTAACACAGACCTTAGACCACATCTTTCTTTCCCATTGTAGAATGGGAAATCTCTGTTCCTTGCTGGCCAATTTAGTCTTTCAATTGTCTAAGGGCTCTCCATTCCTCCCTTCCTCTTTCTAGCCTGTTATTTCTAGGCTCCTCTGAATAAATCTCAGGTTTCCTACTGCATGCCTTTAGTTCAAAAATGAGAATCTGCCCTACAGTCTGGCCTCCTTCCTGCCTGAAGCCAGCACCTTCACCCTGCCTCTGCCAGTTTCAGAGAGATCAGCCCATTCAAACACTTGTGCCTCATCCCAAATGTTCATCAACATCATGCCCGTTCTTCAATTCCAACACAAATCTTTCTTGCTTGCATGACAGATTTAGGCAAGGCACATAATTCTCTGTGATCCATAGGGCTTATATGAGGATGAAGTGAGATAACACAAGAAAAGACACTTGAAACAATGCCTAGCCCATGAGAACTCTATACACTCTGTGATGGTGTTTAGCTATTTTATTGCCGAGGCACTTACAACCACTGCAAAGAGAACAGAGATGGTTAAAAACACCAATTCCATGTAAATGAGGCCTGAGCCTGCCACTTATGACAGGTGGGACCTTGGGTAAGTCACATTACTTTTTTGGCCTCAGTTTCTTCTGTGAAAGGAACATCTCACAGTACCTCTATCACAGAAATGTTGAGGAGTTTACATGCAACAGTGTGAGTATAAAGCACTTGCTTATGGAAGTAGCACAGAGGAACTGCCCAGTCTACATATTAGTAACTTGTCATTTCCCAGCCCCTAAAGATCTCTCCCTTTCTAAATTCCTCAAGAGCTACAATCATTTTCCCACATTCCAAGATGGATTTTTCTCTGACTGTTTCCACTGTGGTAGGTATGCCCTTCCAGCTAGGTGTGAGTTCCTGAAAAGCATGTACTATCCTGTATATTTCTCCCAAACGCTTCTACTCTCAGCAAATAGGAAAGTGCTAGGAAGGTAAATGCCTGAGAACTATTGACTTGCACATCACCAATACGTGCTATTAAAGTTTGTTAATTTATATAACATTTCATCTATTTGAGTTCATAGCCAAGAAAAAAAATACGAATAAATTGTCATTATTTTTGTTCTTTTTAGAGGAATAGGGAATTGAATATATTTTAACAGCAAATTTATATAAATAAACATAAATAACATTAGACATATAATTGCATGTAGTATAGCAGAGTGAGAAAATTAGAGATAATGAACAGAATATACTATTTTAAAATTCTATAAACACATTTTCTATCAATAAAAAGTCCTTTTTTAAAGGAATCTACAGTCTGACCTTGCAAAAGAAAAAAAACATACGACGTTGAATTTCTGAAACTTATTCACTGAAATATTTTTTTCTGACATGAATACTTAAAGTCTCCAAATTTATACTAAAAATTCATATGTAAATGAACAATGAAAATAAAAATTGCCAATACCTGATACCCATTTTCTCTTTGTATATATTACCACTCTACTTGTGATGGAAAAATAAAAGTTTCCCATCATATGCCATATAAGTTTATGATATGGTTTGGCTCAGTGTCTTCACCCAAATCTCACTTTGAATTGTAATAATCCCCATGTGTCAAGGGCAAGGCGAGGTGGAGATAATTGAATCATGGGAGTGGTTTCCCCCATACTGTTCTCCTGATAGTCAATAAATCTCACAAAATCTGATGGTTTTATAAATGAGAGTTCCCCTGCACAAGCTCTCTTGCCTGTTGCCATGTAAGATGTGATTGCTCCTCCTTGCCTTCTGCCATGCTTGTGAGGCCTCCCAAGCCATGAGGAACTGTGAGTCCATTAAACCAATTTCCTTTATAAATTACCCAGTCTTGGTTAAGTCTTTATTAGTAGCATGAGAACAAACTAATACATTAAATTGGTACTGGTAGAGTGGGGTGCAGCTATAAAGATACCCAAAAATGTGGAAGTGACATTGGAACTGGGTAACAGGCAGAGTTTGGAACAGTTTAGTTGGCTCAGAAGAAGACAGAAAAATGTGGGAAGGTTTAAAACTTCCTAGAGATTTGTTGAATAGTTTTGACCAAAATGCTGACAGTGGTATGGACAATGAAGCTTAAGTTGAGGTGGTCTCAGATGAAGATAAGAAACTTTTTGGTAATTGGAGCAAAGGTGACTCTTTTTATGCTTTAACAAACAGACTGGTCACATTTTGCCCCTGCCCTAGAGATCTCTGGAACTTTGAACTTGAAAGATATAATTTAGGGTATCTGGTGGAAGAAATTTCTAAGCAGGAAAGCATTCAAGAGGTGACTTCAGTGCTGTCAAATGCATTCAGTTTTATGTATTCACAAAGATATGGTTTGGAGTTGGAACTTATGTTTAAAAGGGAAGTAGAGCATAAAAATTTGGAAAATTTGCTGCCTGACAATGTGATAGAAAAGAAAAACCCATTTTCTGAGGAGAAATTCAAGCCAGCTGAGAAATCTGCATAAATAATGAGGAGCCAAATGTTAATTGTCAAGACAATGGGTAAAATGTCTCCATGGCATGTCAGAGGTCTTCACAGCAGCTCCTCCCTTCATAGGCCTAGAGCCCTAGGCAGAAAAAATGGTTTCATGGGCTGGGACCAGGGTCCCCCTGCTCTTTGTAGCCTAGGGACTTGGTGTCCTGCATCCCAGCCACTCCAGCCATGGCTAAAAGGGGCCAAGGTACAACTCAGGCCATGGCTTCAGAGGGTGCAAATCCCAAGCCATGGCAGCTTCCACGTGATGTTGAGCATGTGGGTACACAGAAGTAAAGAACTG
The DNA here is from genome assembly GCF_000001405.40 of Homo sapiens. Taxonomy (NCBI): domain Eukaryota; kingdom Metazoa; phylum Chordata; class Mammalia; order Primates; family Hominidae; genus Homo; species Homo sapiens. The sequence continues at coordinate 82,012,158 of NC_000010.11, read as the reverse complement.
AGGTTTGGGAACCTCCACCTAGATTTCAGAAGATGTATGGAAATACCTGGATATCCAGGCAGAAGTTTGCTGCAGGGGCGAGGCCCTCACGGAGAACCTCTGCTAGGGCAGTGTGGGAAGTGAAATGTGGAGTTGGAGCCCCCACACAGAGTCCCCACTGGGGCATTGCCTAGTGGAGCCATGAGAATAGGGCCACCATCCTCCAGAACCCAGAAGGATAGATCCACCGACAGCTTGCACTGTGCATCTGGAAAAGACACAGACACTCAACACCAGCCTCTGAAAGCAGCTGGAAAGGTGGATAAATGCTGCAAAGCCACAGGGGTGGAGACGCCCAAGACCACGGCAACCCATCTCTTCCGTCAGCATGACTTGGATGTGAGACATGGAGTCAAAGGAGATCATTTTGGAGCTCTAAAATTTGACTACCCCGCTGGATTTCAGACTTGCATGGGGACTGTAGTCTCTATGTTTTGGCCAATTTCTCCCATTTGGAATGGGGGCATTTACTCAATGCCTGCACCACCATTGTTTCTAGGAAGTAACTAACTTGCTTTTGATTTTACAGGCTCATAGGTGGAAGGGACTTACCTTGTCTCAAATGAGACTTTGGACTGTTGGACTTTTGGATTAAGGCTGGAATAAGTTAAGACTTTGGGAGACTGTTGGAAGGGCATGATTGTGTTTTCAAATGTGAGGACATGAGATTTGAGAGGGGCCGGGGGTGGAATGATATGGTTGGCTCTGTGTCCCCACCCAAATATCACCTTGAATTGTAATAATCCCATTTGTCAAGGGTGGGGCCAGATGGAGATAACTTAATCGCTGCGTGGGTGTCCTCATACTGTTCTTGTAATAGTGAATAAGTCTCATGAGATGTGATGCTTCTATAAATGGAAGTTCCCCTAAACAAGCTCTCTTGCCTGTTATCATTTAAGACGTGGCTTGCTTCTCCTTTCATTCCACCATGATTGTGAGGCCTCCCCAGCTATGTGGAACTGTGAGTCCATTAAAACTCTTTCCTTTATAAATAACCCAGTCTCAGGTATGTCTATATTAGCAGCATGACAACAGACCAATGCAGTACAATATTCTATGTATGAGGTGGGCTAGTTGGAAACACTTCTGTCAAAATATTACCTATTTGACACAGATAAGACACAGCCTGGGTCTCCAAACAGGATGAGCTCACTAGCTGCCCTCTGGAAACCAAGTTTTGTTTTGAAATCTTAAGAAGCGTCTCATGTGTCACAAGAAGAGGTTGCAATCTGAAGTTGAGGGGCTTCTGTTCATCAGTGAGGTTTCTTGCCCTTCCAAAAGAGGCACATCCCTGCAGGACCCTGAGTTTCTGAGCTGCTTCCAGAATACTTCCTGAGTCCTGTGCTTAGAAAGGAATAGAGACCTCTATATCCCTCAGCAGTGTGAGGCAGGTAGTGCTGGCTCTCAAAACACCCGCTCCAATTAATGTCCATCTGTGCCTTGTAATTCAGGAAATTGTAGCAGCAAGAAGCAGCGTTTTTGTTGATAAAGTCACTTCTGGAACCTTTCCTGTTTATGGGAAAACTTTTTAGGCAGTAGATGATCAGCAGACTTGAACACTGGAAGTACAGGAATTGGAGGATGGAGTAGCAGACTGTTTTATTAATAAGCTTCACAAAAGGGAGGGTGCAACACAAATTAATGGTTATAGACACTACACCTTCTACATTAAAAGAAAGTCTTAACAATCTGAACCTAACACAGTAACTCATATTTTTCAAACCACATTATATTTTGCAGAAAACTTTCTCACAAAGATGCCTTTAAATATTTCTCCCATTAAGACTGAAAGAGGGAGAGACGGCCCCTTTTACAACAGCACAGTGTACTCATTATGAGCTTAGGTTTGGAATTGGACACACTTGTTTATGACCTTGGCCAATGGCTTACCCACTCCAAGGCTCAGCTTTCTCACCTATAAAATAAAGATGAAATTCTTTCTTCTTATAATGTCACTTGATGGTTAAACATAACTTATTGGAAATTCCTTCACCGTGTGCTCAATTAGACCATTAGAAAGTGCCCTCATTTTTAATTATTCACTGAAGTTCTGCATTGTGGACACAGTCTGCCCTACATCTCAGATCTCATGAGGCTGAGCCCTTGTTATCTCCACTTCTCCAGGGCAGAGAAAAGACAAGCATGGCTTCTACTTCTTTCACTGAGTAATGAAAAATGTCAAAGAAAAGCACAGCTCACATATTGGTGGCATGACCAGGTCATAATACATGTGCTTCTATACTGCGCTGTGTCTCTGGCCCTCTATACTGACTGAGGAGCTGTCAGTCTTCCACAAGGCAAATGCCCAAAGGAGGCATGGCTGGGGCTGAAAGGTCTGATCCCAGGGATTTGGTCTCAGCTCTCACTCAGCTGCTTTTGGCCAGTGTCCATTATTGTCCCCTAGAAAGATGGAGTCCTCTTCTCCCAATTTCCATGTAAAATTCTATTGAGAGTGCATGCATCCCTTTTTTGTGTTTTTGTTTTTGTGCACCACTGCACACTGTGCAACCTTCACTGGACTTCCTTTAGTGTAAAAGGAAATATCTTTAACGCACTAAGAAAAATACCTGAGGGAAGAGAGGAGGTTGGCAGGGGAAGTCGTGTAAGGACAGGACTGGAAGCATCTCTGCCCTCAGTGCTTTCCAGAGTCCTAGACTTCTGTTCACAGACTAGGTATGTATGCTTGGTGAAAGGCTCAACCACCTGAAGTCCCTAAGGACCCCAAGAACACTGCAACTAATTTATAGGGGAAATAAAAGGAAGACAGTACCTAGTCTACTATTCAGGAAAAGGTTACAAAGCAAGCCACCCCTGGATGAACAAGAAACCTAGCTTGTGTAGACTTGTCATTCTGAGTTTTCTTACGCTTATGGAAGCAATAATGCATGTCATTGTACACCTCAGAAATTTCTATAGTACTTTTTTGCATATGACTAAATACACATTAACATTTTATTACCACCTTTTATCCAAGAATCATTGATGGATAAAAGCAAAATAGTAATACGGCTTTTAAATAAAATACATATTTGATACATCTACATAATTAGCTGGGAGTTGTAGTACATCTTAACGAAACTGTAGTTAAATTTTAAAATCAAGTTCATACTTGAAACTGAATAGGAAAAATGCAAACTGCAGCACTTCATTTCATGAGACTGACAAAAAAGAACTCTCCATATATAGGCCCTGGCTTTTCTAAAATGTGAAGTCTAGGCAAGCACATGCCTTGCTCTGAATACTGGCTGAAAGGGTGTATTAAAATGACCAACCCAGTCTTAACCAAAATGCCCACCGCCAATATTGCATTGCATTCTTCCTGGTGATGTTAGTGGGTCCAATAAAATCATTTTCTAAATTATGAATACATTTTTTTCTTTTATTCAAATTGTGTTCCTCATGGGTACCAAGGAAAAATAGAGATCAAAATAAAGAGACTACCAGAAATGGATCCAGAGAAAAAATGATGGAAGTTCCAATGGGTGACAGGTCTTGCATGAGGCAAGTACACAGGTAGCCATGATCTTGAATAGCTCTGTACCAACATCCATTGCCCTCCCCTTGGTTAAACTTACTTTTCCTAATTAACCAGAGAACAATTCAGAGTGATATATTAAATACCTTCCAAATAGGGACATTCAACAGATATTTGCTGTCCTCAATCATTTTTCTATTTTTCTATTTAGCACACCTATGTAATATTTATAGCAAATCACTTTTCACTGAACACTATTTTTAGAGCTATTTTGTTTACATCTACTCTTGTCACTGGAGTATTCTACATGCTCAAGGTCCCATCTTTGCCTGTCGAACTCATACTCAATAGTGTGGTCAAGTTCAGATGTCTTTCCCTGACCTTCCAAACTATGTATTAGCACTATTCCCTCCCGATCTTCTAAGCACTCTGACAGCATGCTACACTTGTGCTTCAGAGTAACCATCGGATTGTAAGGAAATAACCATTATGTAATTTTCTATATAATGCATGTCTCCCTTGTTAATCCAGAAGCCTCATGAGAAATGGGATCTTGCTACTTTTATTCATCATGGAATGCCCCCCAAAACCAGCTGTGCCTGGCAAATTGGTGAGCAATCAGTAAGTATCTGTTGAATAAAATAAAAAAATTAGGGAATAAGATAATAATGAGTAAATAATAGAAGTTGTTTCTGAGAGAGGTAGAGAAAAAGAATGAAAAAGAAAGTCAATTTAATTTTTTTAATGCACTGGGAAAGCATTTAGAGCTCAACAGTGTTTATGGTTCCCATTGTTAGATGTCAATTGTCATTCACGATAACAGGTGAAAAAGTTGTAGCATATAAATAGGTATTGTTTCATAAATAGGCCCATGAGGTTGCTATCCTGGTTTTAAAACTTCTAGTCTTCATTGTATTGAAAATATCTACTACAGTAAAATAGCACAAAAATAAAATGTAGAAGGATTAAAAGAATTAAGAATTATATAATTTATCCACATTTACCCACATAATCTAAGAAAATCAATAAATAAATGATTATAATGGATAAAATTATTCAGCAAGATTTCTATATACTAAATATATCCATGTAATATTCCTTCACATCTGCAGCAAACTGTTAGAAAATTTGATTTTAGGCCGGGCACTGATGGCTCACGCCTGTAATCCCAGCACTTTGGGAGGCCGAGGCATGCAGATCACAAAGTCAAGAGATCGAAACCATCTGGCCAACATTGTGAAACCCCGTCTCTACTAAAAATATAAAAATTAGCTGGGCATGGTGGCGTGCGCCTGTAGTCCCAGCTACTTGGGAGGCTGAGGCAGGAGAATCACCTGAACCTGGGAGGTGGAGGTTGCAGTGAGCCAAGATCACACCACTGCACTCCAACCTGGGCGACAGTGCAAGACTCTGTCTCAAAAAAAAAAAAAAAAGAAAAGAAAAAAGAAAATTTGATTTTAAAGAGTTACTTTTATAATAGCACAATGACAGTTATAACTAAATCTATTAATAGTAAACATGTAGGTAAGACTTTTAGATTAAAATAATAATTCTATTGAATGCCATAAAAAGACATAAGCAAACGAGCTATATATCATGCTCATATGCCCAAATGTCCTTAAGGCAATTCTTACAAATAAATATATAAAATCAAAGCAATTCTAACCAAATCCTATTAGTGTTTTCAAGGAAGATGGCAATTTTTTGCTAAAATATACATGGAAAAGTTACAGATCAGTATCTGTCAAGGAAATTTTGCTGTGAATGAATAGAGAACTTAGCTTAATTGATATAAGCCTTTACTAAAAAGCTTCAGAAATTAAACAGTGTATATAGTTTAAGGAATAGACACAGGAACAAAAGTGACAGAATAAATGACCTTAAAATAAACTCAGGTACCAATGAGAGCTTAGGATACAGCCTATGACAAATGTCTGAGCAAAAGATAGACTATCCAATACATGGTGCAGAAATAACCGGCTAACCATACAGAGAAAGAAAAAAAATCAGATAACTCCTTATCTACAAACAAAAACAAAAAAAGTAACTTCTGATGGGATTAATAACTTAAATCAGGTAAACAAATATTTAACTTTCAAATTATTACGTAGAGACTATATTGATGATATAAAGATAGAAACAGAAAAGAAAAAAGCATAAAAGAAAAATAAACATATTTGAACATATTAATACTGAAACCTTTTATAAGATAAAATACATTATAAGCAAAGTAAAAAGAAAGCCACAGGTTGGAAGAAGATAGTTACAAATCTCACAGGTAAAATGGAGTATCATACAACATGCAAAAGGAACGGATAAATTCAATTGTAAGAAAATAAAAATAAATAGAAAAACAGGCTAGTTATATGAATAGACAGTTGACATAAGACACTCAAATGGCCAATAAATATGTCAAAGATCTCTTTGTCTCACTAATAATCTCACTAATAATCAGGAAATCACAAATTATGAAAATAATCAGCTAACATATTATCCTCTTTAGATTGTAAAAATCAATAATCTGACTGATTTTAGAATGTGGGAAAACAGAATCAAATGCATAATAGATAAGATGGTAACCTGAAGATCTATTTAGCATTACACAGCTGAAGACAGACACAACGTACAACCTAAAAATTTGATCTTTAAGTTTGTATGCTAAAAAAACTCATGTGTTTTCATAAGGTGAAATAAAATTTCTCATTATACTGAAAGGTGATTCACACACACACACACACACACACACAAAATACACATTTCCTCTATGTTACCTTAGGAATTTTTTGAAATATTGTCTTATTCACCAGTGTAAGGGTAGACTACTTTTACTTAGTAAAAGTAATCTGAAAGAAAGCGTACGTTAGTGAATCAGCACAACATGCTAAACGTGTTGCAAACTCTAAGTGTCACTCAGAGCATTTATTCATTGTAAGTACATTCCATTAAGAAGTTTAAAATTCAAGTTAAGAGCATGTAGCTTAAAATTAAAATGACCTAAAAAGCATTGCAGAAAAAAGGATGGTAACTTTACTGGTATCATTCACTTCAGGTGTTTGTATCAGGAAACCAACACAATGTTAGTTGATCGATTATTGCTTTATTCAGATATTCCTTGGTGCATGTTTACAGAAATGTCATAGCTCTTCAAAAAGGCTTTAAAGAATCAGCTGTCTTCTTTTCATGCACGGGTCAAATTTTATCACTTCTCATTGAGAGACTAAACTTTCAAATGTTTATTGAGCTGTATAATTTCATGGGCTACATAAAAGTGATGGTTAAAAAATGTTAATATATTTCATCACTAGGCATCCTTAAGTTTTTAAGTGTTGTAAGTCTTATTTCAGAACACACTAGAATCTATATTTGCAGAGAAATGTAGCTTTTGGCACTAATTAATGGACCAGCATAGAGTCATATCTACCACTACAGGCAGGCCATGACTACAGGGCCTGCCACCAAGGCTTTTGCCAAGGAAACAACACTTGGAAAAGATCTACAACACTTTGTGTATCACTTACTAGCTATTTTGATCCCTGACCTTCGGTCAGTCATTTATCTCTTCATCTCAGTGTTCTCATCTGTAAACTGGCATTTATAATTCTGGTCCTCCACACCTCAGGCTGTTGTAACAATCAAAGGCCAAATCAAATAACAAGCATGACAGTATGTACTCATTTGCTAGGGCTGCCGTAAGAAAACACCACAGACTTAGTGGCTTAAACAACTGCAATTCATTTTCTCAACAATGTTGGAGGCTAGAAGTCCAAGATCAAGTTGTAAGCAGAGCCAGTTTCTTCTGAAGACTCCTTGGCTCACAGACGTCCATCATCTCCCAGCGTCTTCCCATGGTCTTTCTTCTGTGCCTGCCTGTGTCCAGACTTCTCATACAGGCTCTGATCATACTGGATTAGGGCCCACCTTAACGTCCTCATTTTAATATAATTACCTCTTTAAAGACATTATCTCCAAATATAGTCATACTTCGAGGTACTGGTGGTTAGAACTTTAACATACACATTTAGAAAAAGGAGAGAGGAAACAATTTAAACCAAAGCCCAGTGCTGATGTCAAATCATTGCTGTTGACAAAAACATCAGCACTGCCGCACATACCTGCAGAAACATGGGATTTGTTCAGTTACGGTTAGATTGATGATGACTACCTGGAAGCCACATGGTAAATAAATGAGAAAAGAGAGAAGATTGTGTGAAAAGTTCTTCACTCTGCTCAAGGACTTTACACCTTTGGTTTTCCCACTCTCTTGTGTCATCAGTTTCTTTCTCTCTACTAGATTATCCCTATCAGCATGCAAACATTCCCTAGTTTGATGGCCTTCAAATTTTAAAACCGTAATTCACGTGAAGAAATACATTTTATATTACAATCCAATATACACCAGTATATGTGTGTAGATATGTAACTATTTGTAAATTCTTCATAATAATATAGTCCACAAAAATAAAATTCTTACCTTTACCACATGGCATGTACCCTATTTTCTCTTTTACTCCAATTAATGTTTTAAATGATTATTGCAACCCAATAAAAATATTTTAAGACCACTTATGGTTCACAAACTGCGGTTTAATAAATGCTGCTCTAAGGTATCTGTGTGTGTGTGTGTGTGTGTGTGTGTGTGTGTGTGTGTGTGTGTGTTTTCAGTCAGGTATCCTTACAGCACCCAGGCTGGACTTGAACTCCTGGGCTCAAGCGATCCTCCCACTTCAGCCTCCGGAGTAGCTGAGGCTGCAGGTGCATGCCAACACACCCAGCTCTAAGGTGTCATTTTTAAGGCACAGCAACTTCCTTTACCCCGTAGCCCCTCCATCAACCATGCTATTTCTCTGCTGCCCTTAGCCAAACTTCTCAAAAGATAGGTCAACAGACACTCCCATCAGCAACTCAGATCACTCCCACTTTGGCTTCAACAGCAGCAGCCACTCTGATAAACCTTCTCTGGCATTTTGGTTACCAGCAATTTCCATGTTGCCAAATCTAATGGACACATTCCAAGCATCCTTCTCGACTTTAAACAGCCTTCAATGTAACTGGCCACTCTGTCATTCTTAAAATGCATGAATCTATTGGCTTCTGAAACAGTACAGTCTCCTGGTTTTCCAGCAACCTCACGGTTCACTCCTCAGTCTCTTAGTCCTACCTTCTCTTTCTTTACTTTACCTGAGGAATCTCTGGGCTCAGTCCTGGAACCCATCCTCTTCCTAATCTGTATTCTATCCTAGATGCTTTCAAAAACTAGGTTAAATACAATTTATATTCTATAAAAACCCCAATGTTTAACTCCTCTAAAGAATTATCCAGATCAAGGCTCATATTAAATATATTCAGTTGCCTGTTTGACATCTCCAATTGTGTATCTTAAATGAGCCTCAAACATAATATTTCCAAACTCATGATTCTGCCCATGAGCCATTCCTCTCCCAGTGTTCCTAACTAAACACAAGGCCACCTACCCATAAATCAAGAAATCTCCCCTCTCTTTTCCCCTCCCCTTGCACATGCAATTAATCAGCATGACCTTTTTTCAAACTAATACCTTACATTTATTTCTTAGACTATTAAGCTTCCTTTTGAACTAATCACAACTAGGGAATGTTTTTACTTGTCCAGACACATCAGCACCCCTCCTCAACACCCCTTACCATTTTCTACAAAGCAATCAGAGTGATCTTTTCAAAATGTGAGTTAGATAATAACACTGCTCTCCCCCTCTTCCAAGCATACATACATTCATAATGCCTGGCACTTAGCACTCAATTTTTTTTAAAAGAATGAACAAATCATACATTTGCCATGCAGCCTTGGGAGAAACAAAGGAAGCTGAAACAAAGAGCACCTGGCCATGAAACTATTTTCTTGCATCTATGCACAGTGGAAAAGGGGCAATAAGAAGCAGGAATTTGTATGACAGCTATTTGTGAATGTTCTGATATGGCTCAGTGAAGCCAAAACCATATAATATTTAACATTATTATCCACACTACGCCAAGCATGGGACCTAGACAGCAGAAGGTCCAAGTTGCTGACCTCAGGAAGGTTTACTGGGACCATGTTCCATGACAGCAGAACAAACTAGAAGTTTATACTGTACCAAATGCAAAAGAGCACACAGTTGCTAGAAAAACACTGCACAGCTGCTGAATTACAAGTCTTCTGTTTTTATATAAATAAAAATTTTACATTTTTCTACCACATTGAACGTTCCCAGACTCCACAGGTGTGGATAGTGGGTCCATGAAGAGACAGTAGGATTCATTAAAGTTGAATAAAACAGGAATCAAAGGTAAGACAAATATTGAAGAGGGACAGGAATTCTCGACAGGCCCATGGTAAGGCAATTTGGCTTTTCAGAGAAGTTTGAGGTGTCCTGGGACTCAGGTAATGAGGTCCCAAGAGTAAGAGATTTGCTACAGACACAAAGACAAAAACGTATTTGGCAACTTTAGAAATAATTCTGGGGTCAATGTGAAGTCTTGCTAGTCTTAATTTTCTTTAGTTTATACAATTAGGGATGTTTGGTCCTGTTAAGGATTACTGAGAGGAAACTCCAGGTAGGAAGTTTTGCAAGATGAGTTAGTTTGTCCAAAAAGGGATTTTTCAGATTTGCAAGCATCATACTATATGTATGGGTTCAATTTTATGAAGAGGTTTTGCAATGGGCTCCAAACAAAGGAGGATGATTGTTGAAGTTGTTAGTTGTATCATGATTTTGTGATCCTAACCTGTTTCTAAAACCAGAGGAGGAAACTTTATTAGGTCCCAAACATACATCTACCCTGAGAGCATTTACATGCACTTACATGAACGCAGATCCTATATGAAATGATTGCTCAACTTAATATTTCAGTTAACTGGAAATACATTTTCCTCTTAGCTTCTTAATTTGGGTAACTTTTTTTGAAATCAGGAAAATATCAGTACAAAAAAAGTGACTTAAGTTTTCCAAGTTTAAAAAACAAGACTAACAATTCATTAGCTTTCCTATGTGTAGAAAATAGGGCACTTGCGTAGTAAGGTAAGCTTTCATTTATTTTTCCCTGTCCTCTATTTTCCATTTTCATTCATTCCTCTCTTCTTTTTCCTTCTTTCCTCGTTTCCCCTTTTTTCTTTTTCTTTTTTTTCCTCAGATGGAGTCTCACTGTGTCGCCCAGGCTGGAGTGCAATGGCACAATCTCAGCTCACTGCAGCCTCTGCCTCCTGAGTTTAAGCAATTCTCCTGCCTCAGCCTCCCAAGTAGCGGGGATTATGGATGCCCACCACAAAACCCAGCTAATTTTTATATTTTCAGTAGAGATGGAATTTCACCATGTTGGCCAGGCTGGTCTCAAACTCCTGACCTCGAGCGATCTGCCCATCTTGGCCTCCCAAAGTGCTGGGATTGCAGGCGTGAGCCACCATGACCAGCCTTTCCTTTGCTTTTTTTTTTTTTTTCTCTTACACTTTCCTTTTTTAAAAATGTATGAGCCCGAACAACAATCCTAGAAGTTTTCTTCAAATAGTGGCAGTAAATATTTTTAAAACATGATCTTTGCCTTCATTGTAATAGGAATTTGTTCAGGGAGAATTGTTTTCTTCTTCAGAGCAGTATAAAAAAGAAACAGTTGAAAACACGGCAATGTTTGTTTAGTTTTAGTTTGGAATTTCCATACAATGTTTGTCAGGGTATTCTATTAAAAACTGAAACAAATTCATAAATTGAATAAAATTATTTTAAAAGAGAAAAAACAAACCCAGAATAGCAACTTTGTTCTGGCAAGACCACTGAAAAACAAGAATCAAATGGAGTAATTTTGCAACAGAAATGATTTGCAGCAGAAATGTACTGCATTGACTTGAATTTTCTTTCAAGCTGCCTATTAAGTAAATTTCCTACTCAACTGTTAGTATTTGCTACAGTCGTAAGGTTAGTAAGTTAATATATTCATTTTGGAGCATTTTGTGAATAAATTAGGAGGCTACTGTATATGAAGGAAGGAGTTGACAGGCTGAAGCCAGGAAGATACAGGCAGTGGCCTTACATAAGTAAGTTGACTTGTTGATACATGTTCAAATTATAGCTAACAGCTTTCCTGATGTGTGGGACATGGGCTATGATGGAAAGATAGGAGCTAAGGGTGATACATGACCCTGCTTCCAGTCTTGGATCTCACAAATTGACCATTCACATTTCTGCCAGAAAAATTAATCTACGCTACAAACCTGACAATGTTACCCCATGGCTCACAACTCCAAAATGACATTATGTGGCCAAGAAGGAAAAAAAAAAGCAGCTGTATACATGACCTTGATACATTACTTAGTTTCCCTAAATACCATAATTGTTTTCTGTCCAAATGGACATAAGAACGGCTACTTCATAAGATTTCTGGAAGGATCAATTCAAAAATGTATATACAATCTTTTTCTATGCTACTTAAATTTTATTGATAATTGGAAATGTGTGTTCTTTAAAGTTTAGGTAAACTAATTCCCAAAGGGTAATTATGAATAATTTGTAAAACACAACCAGAAACATAACTTAGCTCATTAGGAACTAAAATATATCTACATTTTATTATCCAGCATCTTCCTTACCAATTTTCAAACTGATATGTTTGGATAGGGTTTCACTGCTGGGTTAGGCATGATTATGTTCCCAAAATGTATCATTTAGAATAGATATCAGCAAAGGAAGTTAATACTGTCCAGACAAGGATCATGTGACTAAGGCAACTATCTAAAAATACTTGACTGAAGCAAGTGTCTGGATTCAGTTTATACTCCCTGTGTCTCAGCTCCCACTACACTGGACTCACATGAATTTCTGTGTTACTTAGAGATAATAAATTAACAATATACATATATTGAAGACGTAAATGAAGTCTCATTTGTTAAAACTATTGCCAGTACTTTAAAGCATAACCATAGTTTTATTCCATTTTATTCTCATCTGCTAGTTGTTAAAGGCATAAAGGAAATTGATTTCTTATGAGCACATATGAATCTATTTGTAATGAAGATCTCATTTCTTAAGGTTTTGTTACGACTCCCAAAGAAACAAACATAAGAAGTTATGTAGTCTCATTACAAACTTGAACATTTTTTACAAAATGACCTGACCTCTCCTAGAGAAAATATTTTCTTGAACAATACATTTTCACTGTAATTAATATAATAAAATGTCATTATCATAGCCATGTTGTATTAATTTTAACTGCTCATGTGGCCAAGACTGTGATTGTCTAGAATGATCTCAATTCTTCAAAATAACTTAGTTGAAAACACCAACGTACTTCTTTCAATGATTTTGGGATAAGTTTTAGAAATCGTTCTTCTTAAATTTTATCGTTTTCTTCAATTTCTACTGTCTCTTTTAAAAAAGTGTCAGTTGAGCCTTGAGGTCTCGTAAGAACATGTTTTAAAAAATAAAATAAAGCACATGTTTTACCTTTCACGTAAATGATGGCTGTTTACTGTCAATAATCATTCAAGTAGTAAATATTTTTGGAATCTAAAAAGGTATTTCTCTTTAAAAACACTTTGCCGCCCAGGCACCGTGGCTCACGCCTATAAACCCAACATTTTGGGAGGCTGAGGCAGGCAGATCACTTGAGGCCAGGAGCTTGAGATCAACCTGACCAACACGGTGAAACCCCATCTCTATTAAAATACAAAAATCAGTGGGCGCCTGTAATCCCAGCTACTTGAGAGGCTGAGACAGGAGAATCAGTGGAACCTGGGAGGCGAAGGTTGCAGTGAGCCAAGATCAAACCACTGCACTCCAGCCTGGGCAACAGACACACACACACAAAGTTTTCATGCTATGTTTTTTAAAAAGTGAGGATGTTTACAGGTAAAAGGGAAGCCCTACTTAAGATATATGCTTATCCTTTTGGCTAGACTTATTTCTCATGATGTTTAGTTGTGAGAAAAGGAGAGAAAGCATAGAGGAGATGATTAACATTCATTGGGTCCTCTATCTATCACACACGTTGTTTTATCACATAACACTTGTGCATCATTTATTCCTTTACAACAGTCCTAGCAGTAGACAATATTAGCCTTATTTACCCAGATGAGGACATTGTGACTGAGAAGTGTTCAGTAATATCAACATCGACTCTGCGGCCCAGTTTGTCTGACTCCAAAGACCCATGAGATGTCCACTGGTCCACACTACACAGCAGTGTGGAGAATTGAGGACATGAAGACAACAGCATACCACAAAGTTCCTAGAATCAGAGTGGCCAGTTTGGGAGGCAGGATTATAAAGAGGTTGATTTCTAGCCACAGGAGGGAATGTCTAGAGTCATATAGAGAAACATGTCTAAGTAGAACTATCCAACATTAGATCTGATTAAATGTAGATAAATGCTAACCAGCTCAACTCTCTAGATTAGCTTAAAAGTCCACCTGTTTGATAAGCAGAAGACACAAGTTTAATCACATTCCATGTGTATTACTTCTTAAAATCAGCCAATGGAAACTACGCCCTTTATCACACTGAAAATATCCTTGCAACTGTCAAGCTCTTTGAGAGTGCGGAGCTTCAAACTTCAGCTGGTCTCTTCAGGGAAGGAAGCCAGAAGTTCTTGCCACCTAGAAGACAGTTGAAGTAGAGGCTACACATTATCACACATGAAGACTCACAAATCACCCAGACCTGCTCAGCTCAGAGGTACTGGAAATAATGGAAGAAACTGGGCTGGAATTACACTGTCTTCTGAGTACTAAAATAAAGACTCAATTTTGTGCATATTTGAGGTAAAAAAAAAAAAAAGTTGGGCCTTTGGTGGGGGGTGGGGGGCAGACATATAGACAAATATGAGGGACCCCACAGCTAGGGAGACATTACGTACAAATAAATCACATTATAGGAGAGAGCAATGGCACTTAATAAAAATCATAGAGTATGCTGCGCTTATCTGACATTGATTATGGTCCAAGCACTGTGCTACACATGACTCAGACATCATCTTCATTTTCCCAAGCCCTGTGACATGCATATTATCACCCCTATTTCACAGATGAAGAAACGGAGCCTCCGAGATATTAGGTGTCATACCAAAGACAACATAACTGGGCTAATTGGAATTCGGGGCCCTCCAAATACATAGCTGAGGCTTCACATTTCACTGTCTTAGGAGACATGAAGGTAAAGGCTTCCATCAGTTTACATGTTAAAAGGAGAACAACTATGATGCCTCAGCGGTGACCATTCCTGGAGGAGAAGGCATCTGAGCTGAGTGTGTAAAGATGCACAGCATCTAGACATAGAAGGCTGGAGGCGAAGGACATCCCATAGTGACCCTGCACAGGCACGGAGGGCAGAAATCCCACAGTCATAACTCAGAATGGCAAGGGGCTTGACTTAGCTGGAGGCCAAAGCACACACAAACTGTCAACTGCGATACAGTGTTAGAGAGGCACCATATCACAGGAGACCCTGAATGTCAGCCTAAAGAGCTTCCATGTGCACTGCAGGCACTGTGGGGCCCAGAAGGTCTCTTAGCAGATGAATGAGTCGCCAGATACAAAATAGAATGATTCATCTGGTAATAGCATGCAAGAGTGAGGAAATGTATAGTCTCTTATAGATTCATAAGTGTAAGCAGCCTTATCTTGGCTAGTCACAGAAACCTTACCCATTTTATTAAAGAATTTAAATACATGACTTTCAAGGAAGAATAATAACAAATTATTTTTTTTTCAAATCATGCCTATGAGACATTTATGTGAGATACCATTTTAGAGGTACCCATAATTAGTTTCAACTAAATCACAGCATTTGCACTACTTGGTAAGGTTCCAAAATGATGATATAGAAAATGCAGACTTCCAAAATTATGCATCTGTGTTGCATATACACAGGCCCACCCACACAGCAATTCACATTCTCACTCTTATTCCTCCTCTCCCTCCTTTCTCTCTCCCTTTCTTTTCTCTCCTGCCTCCTCCTTCCTCTAGCCCCTCTTCTTCTCCCTCTCAGTCTCTCTGTAAGCATATGAATTCAGCACTATCACTAATAATCAGAAACATTAGCAGAAAGCACTCTCTCATTTTCTAAATATGCACTCATCATGGATATGTGAAATAAAAGATAATGACCAATTGGCAAAAATATGTAAATATCTTATACTAGTCAGAATATAGTCCTGCACCATTATATCATATTGCATTGCTATTAATTTTTCATTAAGCATATGCTCCAATAAGTAACTTACTATATTGTGACAGAGGGTGGAATGGGGGTAAATAGAGCTCCATAAGCCATTTGATTATCTCATTTGAAACAACGATACTGGCAACATTCCCCCAGAATTCAGCTAAATGGCAAGAGTCTAAGGGATACACTATAGACTTCAGACATGCACAGTGCAACATTTTCATACCTTGTAGAAATATTATGACATTACACCAATGCCTTTAAACAATAGACAGAATGTTCTGACAAATATTCTGTTCCTAATGGCCATGAGATGCATTATCTATTTGTCACATATGAGCTAACACACTATGTGATATTTTTAAAAATTTCCATCATGTTAATACTCAGACAGATGTCCTCTTTTTATTCTTGAAATTTGAAAGCAGAATCCTCTTTAGCAAAGCTATTCATTATGCATTATAAAGAAAAAAAAATTCCAGAGCTGGATGTAAAGGATCATGAGCAGATTAACCCAGGGCTTTCCAGTGAAGAGAGCCATGTGAAAACAATTTCAGTCCCTCTGACCACAGTTGCATGGCATTGACCAATTTAACAAAAAACAAAACAAACAAACAAAACAAAACAAAACAAACAATATCAAGGTCTGTATCTAGAAAAGGTACTGATGAAGAACCAGAAAGTACAAGGAATTCTGTAGGACTAGAATATTGAAGACCCACAAGGAACCCTGCAGAAGTGGGTGGTCTATCATTCACCCCAACATTCAACTACTTCCTATCTCCAGACACTCATAGGAAGTAATTGAAAGAATATGTTAATATTCAACAGCATCCTTAAACTGTAAGGCAAAGGCCAGTACCAGGAACAGCCAACACAAGTTAAATCAAGGGAGCCTTTTCCATCAGTAAGTAATCACAAGAAGCAGAAAAGATAGTTTCAGGGCTTCCCCTTAAGTCTTCCCTCAGAATAGACAGCCACAGCCAGCATAAAAGCTAAATGAAGGGGTTTCGAGTTGCTGCCAAACACAGTGGAGAGATGCATTCCATAGTAAACATGCATTCCGGCCACAACATGCATGAAACCAAGTGAGCAAACAGGAAAATCAGTGAACCTACGAGAAGAAGTGCAGGAAAGCAGGGACAGTCAAGAAAATAGATTTTTGAAACAATTGTAGGAAAAACATTTTGGTGTTACCTTCCTTTATCTCTTGTATACTATAATAACTAAATATTTATTGGCATTCATCATATAATCATATTGCTTCTATGAAATATGAAACGTAAACATGAAGATGAAATGCTTGCATTGGATGGAAAACACCAAGGGTTAAATCAAAAACACTAAGTTAAATTATTAGCAAAGCCAAATGAAAGAGAAAACTGCAGGAATTCATCTTGAGCTCCATTCAGCAGGATCAAGACAAAATGTTGTGAGTGGGAGATACGAAAAACATATCTGAGAGACCAAATTCACATAAGAAAGAAATCTGAAAAAGACAGCAAAATGGAACAAGTGCAGTTACCATAGAAAAAAATGAAAAATAACTTTCCTCAGCTAAAGAAAACTGACGTTTTAGAACTCAAGAGCTACCATAAAAATAGATTTATGAAGAAACAAAAAGTAAATCCTATTAAAATAATGGCAATAATTTTTCAAGATTTAAAAAATTCTACAAGTATCCAAAAATTAAGTTAAAAGAACTTGATCAAATTGGACTTGCTTCAAATTTGACTTCTATATAATCAGACACCAAAAAATAATGAAAATGAAAATACTCCACTCTTTTGAGAAAAAGAAAACTACGAACCAAGAATGAGCACCCAGCATATTCTTGATCACTTGACAATGTATAGGAGCAATAGAAAGCTATTATCTCATATACAAATTCTTTCCAACTATTCGACATGCTATCTATCCTTTATGCAAGGAAAAAAAAAAGCAGTTAAAGGCATACTTAACCTAACCAGGAAAGAATAAAGAAAATCTCAAGTACTAGAAAGTCAGGTTTAAAAGAAGAGAGGATAAACTGGGAACCTTGTTAAATACGGTAAATGCTCAATGATTTTTTTAAATATTACCTTTCAGCTTAACACAATATCTTATTTAAACTTTCAAACAGATGTTTTATATATAATAATGGCAATTTAAATCATAAATAGAAAACTTCATTATTATCAACAGAAATAGGGACATTAGGGAGAAATCCAAGAGGCATAAAAAGCATTTTAAGTTACTATTTTACATAGTCAACAGTAAAGAAAGTAATCTCAGAATTCTGGACAATTTGAAGATACTATGTTTGATTGTAAAAAATAAACAAGTGTCTTCTCATACACTACTGAGAGGAATGAAACTGATAACACTTTAGAGTGTAATTTGTCATTACAGAGAAAAACCCTAGAAATGGTGTTATTCTTTGACCCAGCAATTACATTTTTCGTACGTTTGGTAAAATACAGTTTTAAATAGCAAAACTTTGGAAACAACAATAGGAAATTGTCTAAAGAAACAATCATGTTTTTGGAAAGTAAGTACAGCACTGGGGAAATCTTCACACTATATTAAATAGCAAAAGAGGGGTTCAATCTGCTATATGCACAAATGTACAAAAACCCAGCTTCATGGGCTTTCTCAATGCTTCTGCGCTTCTATGTGATTCACGAGAAACATATTACAAACAGAAAAATATTACTACAAATAAAACCATTTACAAAAAGCTGTGGGTTCTATCAAGATTATTGTAACTATGGTTCTCTTTTAATGAAAGTAGTTTGAACTTGTAGACTTGACACTAAATTTGGAATTGGAAAATAAGAATTTGGATCACAATCTTGACTGGGTGCATGGTTTATGCCTGTAATTCCACCTCTTTGTGAGGACATGGTGGGAGGATCAGTTGAGGCCAGGAGTTCAAGGCCAAGCTGAGCAACCTAACAAGACCCCATCTCTACAAAAAAAAATTAAATTAGCTGGTTGTGGTGGCATGCATCTGTAGGCCCACCTACTCAGGAGGCTAAGGCAGGAGGATCATTTGAACCCAGGAGTTTGAGGTTACAGTGAGCTATGATCACACCTCTGCACTCCAGCCTGGGTGAGAGAGCAAGACCCTGTCTCAAAAAGAAAATAAAACAAAAAACAACTCACATCTCAGCTACTTTAAACTAAGCTGTGTGCTCATGGTCAACTAATATCCTCTCTCTAGGCTTTAGTTTCAACAACTGTAAAATGAGAACAGTAGACTATATCTTTCCTATGTTCTTTTATTATAATGCTAAACACATTGAAGGATGGCTCGTTTTAAACTTTCTATTGTTAAATGCACAGAACTGAAAAATTAAGCAGATGAAATCTGATGGGTGATATCAATCATTCTTAGTCTAGGTTACCTCTTCTAAATGAAGAGATAACTTCTTATCGTTCAAATAGTAACATGACATTTCCCAAACTATTCCAATATAACTAGGTTCTCAGACTAGAAATATCTATTCTAAAACACATGATAAAGTAATTTAGGGAAGTATAGATTAATCACAGGTTTCATTACTGCAAGTCTCACAAAGACTTTAATATATGAATGGAATCCTGACCCTGTAAGATGGCTACACTATTGACCATAGATCTCTTTTATTCTTTGGGCATCTTGCAGGACTTGTATCTGCTGGCACTCAATAGGAGTTGCTATCATACAGAGAATGTCTATATTGGATCACAGTGCAGCTGTGACAATGGTGTGAGAGAGCCTATAGAATGGAGACCCCTAAGCTAAATGGGAAGACAGAAAAAGAGGAGGTGACAGGAGAGACCTCTGAAGGAGAGGACAAAGAGAGTCATTCTAGCTCATCCACAGTGTTAGAAAAGGAACCTAAAACAGTTATTGCTGAAATCTGTATTTGCAATAATGCAAAGAAATCATTTGTTATGGTAGAAATTATTTATTATAAAAGTCATCATTGTGAGCTTAAGAGAACACATTATTTACTTGAAACTATCTATTTATAACGTATCTATTTATATATGTTTCTTATGCCCAGCAAAAGGAGACATGGCCAATGTTCTTCCACTTCCCCAGGAGTGCAGAGTGAGAAATGAGCAAGGGCAGATATAGTCTCAAGCACAGCAGACAGTTATTGACAATTACAACTATGAGATCAACTTCCATTATGTTGCAAATGCAAATATCTCTAAAAAATGTTGTTTCTAAATTATAAACCAACATTCTTTCCACATATAATCCTTTAGTGAGTTCTGATAAATAAAATATATATTCAAAGAAAAAAATAATTTTATTTTTTAAACTATTATTTGGAACAGCTACATTGTTCACAGTTTCAATTTTCAATCAGCTTACAGTAATGAAAAAATGACAGTTTTTGCTTATATTAAGTGTGAAAGGACCCAACTTACAATGGAATTTTGTTTTCTTTGCTTGAAAATAATAATACAATAGGTATGTTTCTAATAAGAGAATCCTAGCCAAGTAAAGTAAAAACGTAAAGCATGACACTTTGTCTCAATCTAATCTCAGGAGTTTTTCTGTGACTAATGCTCAGAAACTATGATATAATATTTGTTTAATAATTATGGAAATTATTGGTTCTTGGGAATTTACATAGTTTACTCTGGAGAATAAAGAGCTACCTCTTTAAAATATTCATGGGTGATAGATATTATTTTACTTAAGAGAAAAGTAATAGCAAAATGTATACTGAATTAACTTTGTTCAGAGGTAATTATTTCTATTATTATTAAATATCATCAAATAGCAATCCAAACAAGCTAAATCATGTGTGGTTTTCATTTTGTTTTGTTTTTGTGTGGATTTTTAAAAAAAATCTCATCACAGAACTGGTAAATAGGCTTTTATATTTTAGAAAACTCTAACTTGCCATTTCCACTTTCTGAGTAAGGAAGGTTGGTTAATTATGCCTACAATCACCCATGCCTTTGGGGGACCCACACAGTGTATGCACTCCAGATTATTTCCACATTAATATTCTACCATAGACTCACATATTCACAAATCATTGTGGTTTTGTACCCTGTAAAACCACCAGATTCAGATCTCATTAACAGACTTTGAGCATGAGTGCTGAGGCAGAGTGCTTACTAGGTGCCAAGTTCTATGATCTACAATTTATACTTGTTATATCATGTAATCTTTCTCAAATCCTATGATTTTTGAGATAATAACCATTTTCTGAACAAAAAAGGATCAGAGATATTAACAAAATATAATAATGCATCCATTTGATAAAGCAAAATATGATTCTTGGAAACAATGTACATATTGAAGACAATAATTAACACTGAAATATCAGCTTGAAAGTTTCCATCAACCAGCTATATCCCATGCCCAACTCTTCCTGGTTCTATGGACATAGGTTTCAGCCCATGTCACGACATACCTGATGTGCCTTCCTTTTGCATAAATAAGTACCATGTAAGTTGAAAAGGGCAATGGAGGCTTCTCAAATTTTTGACTCAGCTTCTCACACACATTCTAGTTACAAACAAATTGCCAATTTGACTCATTTCAACCAATTTAACATTTGCAAAGCAAGAGTTTAATATGTAAACTTGCATTTTACTAGTAGGTAGAAAATACTAGGTTTATTTTTTTTAATTTTAAGCAACGGGATTTTTCTTAAGAGGAAAAAGTTACCTTGACAAATATAATTCAATTAAGTTCTACTCAAGTATTAAAGACAATATAAAAGGCATTTCAGCATAAATACCAATAATACTCTCTGTAATTGTTATTTATATGGCTGCTATAAGTCTCTTTTCCGGGAATTCCATCGAAAACCTTCCAGCATAGTAGAGTAAAAAATATGGTCATTAACATACATCTGAAATGGGTATGTCTTCAAGATACTTGCTGCTGTTAATAAACTTATCTTACTTAATTATCCTTACTGCACCAATATCTTATGGTTAGATGGCAAAAGCAGTGAAAATAAGATTAAAACAGTGAAACCAATGTGAATATGTTGCAGCCTCAAACTTCAAAATAGTTACAGTTTCTACAAGAGGATAAGTAATCTAAAGAACAATGAAACCAGTTTTCTCACATAAAATACAGATGACTTCATAAATGAACCATAAAAATATTCCCTTGGAGAAAATAGACTTAAGTATCTTTTAGATTTATCTTCAAATTCTCCACTTTTAATATGAGAGTAAACAGCCTCAGGATACATCTCCCATGTTCATCACTGCTTACTAGCATATGCATGACTAACAGTAATAAATTTGTAGAATATTCAAGTCACAAAGAAGCTTGGAAATAATCCACAGCTACTCCACCGTTTTACAGATGAGAACATTGAGATCTAAAGAGTAAAGATACGGACAATCACTTCTTAGACTACAAACTCTGTCGCAAACACCTTCTCAAGGACCATCCAAACATTCCTCTTTGCATATTTTGCCTCTTCAAACTTTCTCCAGCATCAGTCCCTTAAGTTTCATACATGATCTATAATATTCCTACTGTAAAAAATTTGCCCCCTGAACAATTAGCCTTCTCCTAATTTATACTTCATTTCTCTGCTCCTCTTCATAGTCAACCTTCTGGACAGATTTTTTTTCCATTTTTTCATTTCCTGTCCATTTTTTCACCAACTACAGTCCAGCTTCTGCAGACACATCTCCAGAGTCGCATTTTTCTCAAGGCCATCAATAACTTGTTGGTCACCAAAAGAAAAAGTTCTCACTTCTCATCTTTCTACTCAGCCTCACAGCAGTATTGACACGACTGATGCTTCCTACTGAGAGTTTTGCCCCTCTGGGCTCCTATGACCTCAAATCCAAAAATGACAGTAAGTAATCTAAAGAACCAATGAAACCAGTTTTGTCACATAAAACAATACAGATGACTTTATAAATGAACCATAAAAATATTCCCTCGGAGAAAACAGACAAATATTTTTTAGATTCATCTTCAAATTCTCCACATTTAATATAGTAAGTAAACCTCAAATCTCTCCTTGATTCTATCTCTGCATCACAGTCACTTTTGCGTTTCTTTGCTATTTCTTCTTTCTCTGTCGAGTTTCTTAATGTCAATGTACTTTAAGGTATGCGACTGGGTCCTCTTTTCTTCACCATCTATATCTTTTCCTAGGTGATCTTATACTAGATGTCTACACACTAACTCTAACTATCTATAGACTGATAACTCTTTTGCTTTAATCTCCAACTGTATACTTAGCAAGTTCACTTAGTTTTCTAATGTGCATCTCCCAACAGAACCCTTAATTTTCCACAATCCAAAAAAACTCTCCGTACTCGAAGTCTCCCAATGTAGTTAATGACAATATCCTATTCCTATAGCCAGAAATAAGGGTTGTCTTTGATTAGTCCATTTTCCCTCACCCCATCTAATATATTCAGATGTCCTATTTGATTAATTCTACCTCTGCAATATACAGAGAGTGTAATTTCATTTCTGCTCTAACCACCCTAGTCCATTCCACTATAATGCCTCACTTGCGTTACTTCAACAGTCTCCTAACTGGCCTCCCACCCTTAACTCTGTTCTTCTACCCAGCCTTTCCTTATGCATCAACAAAGGTTTTTCTTTTCCTCAAAAAAAAAAAAAAGTACATCCGGGTTTGGAAATCCATCATTGATTTATCATTGCACTTAAATAGAACCTGCATTCCTTAATGTGGGCTGCTAAGACCACAAGTTCTCTGCTCCTTATCAGCCTTCTAATAATAAAAACAAGCACTTATGTCTACTTACTGTTATATCCTATATAACACACACTTATCTGGGAAGAGACAGGACTCTACCACGAATACTATACACAAAACACTAACTCAGGGCCCATTATAACACTGTGCAACTCATGGCATATCAAATATTCTCTAGGCACCCTGACTCTCAGGACAAGCTGAGCTCAATGTATTGGATTGATATCCCATTTCTCTCACTGCATTTAATTAAGAGGGACTGGACAAAGCTTCCTGATTCATTTGATAGGGAAAATAGGTAGGCATTAGCAATAATAATAACAATAACCATGAAAACAACAAAAACCACCACTAAGAGCCATCTGTTCCTCTAATCTGGGAAAATATATCAAAGCCGGGCATGCTTAATGAGTAAATCTTGGTTTCCTCACATTTCTTACTTACAGAGGGAGGGCAGTGAGAGGCCTTAACATAGCTTTCAGAGCCTTATTTGAACTGAGTTCAAATCTTATCTCTACAAATTAACTTGCTCCATGGTAGTGGAGCTGGGCTAACTCCTACGACCTCTAGACCATTTACTTAAGAAAGCAGGATGGCAATAGTTATTTCAGAGCATTTCTGTAAATTAAATATCAAAACACTACACTATCACCTTTGGATAAGGTCAATATATTGAAATGCATTTTGGTTTTTTCTTTGTTTTCCTAGTTTATTAAATCTGCCATTTTAACCCAAATATTATCTTAGAAATTACTTACTATACAAGATTATTCTCCAACAATAACCAAAAAGTGAATCTTGTATCTTGATTCTTACCTTTGCTCAGTATTGTTGGTCATGACAATCTAAGAATGCTAGGATGGTAGAAAATATGGATATGCATAGCACCAATCTCTGGACGAAATATATCAAAAACATTTCAGTGAGCTTCCTTTAATAAAACAAACATTTTTCACTTACTTTCCCCATCCATAAAAGGCAGCTAAATTTCTTTGGATATCAAAGCTCTAAGATAAATTTAACAAGTGACTTCAAAGAGCTTATTATTAGTAGCTTCTGATAATTTCCTAGTCACATATTTTGCTCTCTCAATTGTAACTCATATATCATTTTACCAGTGTCATTCATATTGATCAACGATGCTCTTATCCAATTCCAAAGAACATTTAATCAAATTTTAACTACATTACATACCCTCCAAAAGCCATTTTGCCATTTGCCATTAGCTAGCATTTTTACACACTCTTGACTGTCATTTCTCACATCAGGTTGATTTGCTTATTTATACTGGATTGTATCAATATAGCAGTCATTGTTTCTAAAAGTTACAAAATGGGATATCGTGTCAAAAAATAAAGGTTTTATTTCTGTCAGATAATTTGTTCTTAAAAATAGGCCAGGCATGGTGGCTCACGCCTGTCATCCCAGAACTTTGGGAGGCTGAAGCAGGCGGATCACCTGAGGTCAGGAGTTCGAGACCAGCCTGGCCAACAAGGCGAAACCAGGTCTCTACTAAAAATACAAAAATTATCCGGGTGTGGTGGCGTGCGCCTGTAGTCCCAACTACTTGGGAGGCTGAGGCAGAATTGCTTGAACCTGGGAGGCAGAGGTTGCTGTGAGCCGAGATCGCGTCACTGCACTCCAGCCTAGGCAACAAGAGCTAGCAGAGCAAGACTCCCTCTCAGAAAAAAAAAAATGCACACACACACACTATGGCATCTATACAGGGTAATATAGTTTTCAAAGTTATATGTGCTATTTTTTTAAACACACAATGATGCTGTAACTATGCAATAGTAGAAATTTTATATTAAAGGTTGTGGAATCCCAGCACTTTGGGAGGCCAAGGTGGGAGGATTACTTAAGTTCAGGAGTTCAAGTTCAGCCTGGGAAATGTAATGAGTACTTGTCTCTACAAATTATAAAATAAAATAAAATTAGCTGGGAATGGTGGCATGCACCTGTAGTCAGAAGGCTGAGGCAGGAGGATCACTTTAGCCCAGTAGATCAAGATGGCAATGATCATGCCACTGTGCTCTCGTCTGGGTGACAGAGCAAGACTGCCTCAAAAAAATTAAAATAAAATAAAAAATTCAAATGAATAAGACATTGTGCCAATGAATTTATATTTTCCCTTCCTTACAAATAATTAAAAGACATGGTAAGTACAATAACCTTTATTTCCAAGTATCATTTTAATTTTGAAAGTTTTAAGGTTTTATTTGCAAAATATCATTACATAAACACAGGCGTCATTTTCACTGGATTTTTCATATTTGATTAAAATGATTTTGAGTGTCTTAGGTTTCATGATTTGTACTAAATTTTTCATTTTAAACTTTTGCCTGAAATTGACAGTGTTGCTCCTTTGTCAATATTTTTCTCAATGTTTTCACTATTTACATTTTGAAATCCTTCAGTTGAACTAAAACATACCTTTACATTTTTAAATTCATAATTTTTTCTTTTTAATAATATATCAGTTAATTTTAAGGGTACTAGTATTAAATTTACTAGAATGTTACAGTTACAAATTTGGTAATGTTCTTTCTGAAAAACAGCCTAATTTTGCAGCCTGAAACTTGACTGAAAATCTCAATACTTTTATTCATGATAGAAAAATAATTCCTGGCTTCATCTCACAATTAACTAATAATTATGTTAATATAAAATAAACTGTGCCCTTTCTTTACAGTGATGATCAAAGTGATTCTCCCAGGCCAAAAAATCAAATAAGAAGTTAATTTTAAAAAGACAAAACAAGCCATTCTACCCAGTGGGCATCTTCAGTGTACTCCCTCTACTAATTGGCTCTCTGGCACTGTGACTTACCACTTGTTGCAGTAATTTTTGCAAAGTGTGAAATGACTGATACAGATTTATGCAAATATACCTACGCTATGTTATGGTATATATTATGCTCTTCTGTTCCATTCTATGTTATTTTCCTTTATCAAAGGCTAATTGTGACCCACAAAATTGATTTGATGACCCACTCATGTGGGTGATTCATGCTATATGACACAATGGAGGATAAAGAGAAGCATTGAAAATTCACACACTTAAAACTTGGGCATATCCTATTGAAAGTATCTGCGTTACTCACAACACAATCTCTGTCATTACTTCATCTTCCTCTGCCTGCTTCCTACTCACTTTTCAATTATATCCCCAAAGGTAACTTCTCATCTCTCTCCCTGCATTAATAATCACTCGTGGAATTAGGAGTTCTTACAATAAGGAGAGACATTTTTAAGAATTGCTGGGATGTGTTAGAAATATCATTGATAGCGATTATAGACTTAAGTGATTGCAGATTTGAAATTGGTGAGAATTACAGGCTGAGTTTGGAGTTGAAAAATAAGAACACCACCATCCAGTGAACATCTCTGAAGATGAGCTTGGGCCACTTTGGCCGTCATGGCTTGGCCTAGGTCACTTTCAGAAAAGCCCATCCAGCAGCAGTGGAAAACCTTCCAGCTGAGATGGTAAAGCATATTGGATATGAAAACAAGCTCTGGAAACAGACTTTCTGAGTTCAAATCCCTTCCTAGTTGTATTAATGTTGTGCTCAGTCTCCATAACAACTTTAAAAGTGGTTATTAACAACACTTGTCTCGAAGGATTGTTTAGTGAATTAACATGAAAACCCTTAGAACAGTATTGGCTCATGGAAAGCACACAATGGATGTTAACTATTATTGTATTTATCTTCCTGTTCTCTGGTCCCTTCCCTGATATGTCTACATACATGTGTAAATCTTTGCATACTGTGTTTCCTTTGTGTTTTCTGGGCATTGTAACATATCTCCTCTAAAGCCTTTGCTATTTATGAAAAACATATTTTGAAAACACCGTTTTGTATTTTTTCACTGTTTCTTTTCTCCTGTTATTAGCACATATTTTATAATGTTACCTCCAGAAGGAATTTGCAGTTAATACATTTTATTACTTATCCTTTTGAGTCTTTTTGTATATGTATAGTAATAAAACAGGCTGCCCTGGAATGCATCTATCTCTATATCTATCTGTCTCGATAGATATAAAAGGATTTTTCAAGAAAATATATTCAAGATGCCTTTGAAACATAGAAGATAATGCAAACATTTATGTCTGTGGAAAGAGTCACAGAAAAGAAGATATTTAAACTGCCTCTTGACGAGTGAATAGGAGTTTGGCAAACAGGACAGAAGCTCATGAGGTATCACAGGATTTTAAGAAGAAAAAAGTTCGTATTTGGCTTTTATGAGAAAATTTTGGAAACAATCTGGAGAAAAGTTTGGAAGGAGTGAGGCTGAAAACAGAGATACCATTTGGAAACTGACCATAAGATTTCAAGTGGAATGTCAAGTTTCTAAATTAAGAGCATGATGCAAATACGGAAGGAAGGATTACAATTAAGATGGATAAATTAATAACAGTGGTAATAGTATGTGGGAGCAGATTGTAAAGAAGAATGTAGATAAATGATTTTGAGTGTACTGGTGATTATTAATGTGATTCTATTAGTTTCCTGTTGCTGCTATGACAAAGTACCACAACCTTCAGTGGCTTAAAATAACAAAATTTTATTATCTTGCAATTCTGGAGGTCAGAAGTTCAAAAATGGTCTCTCTGAGTTAATGTCATGGTACCAGCAAGGTTGATTCTTTCTGGGGACTTTGAAGGGAGACTCTTTCCCTGCTTTTTAGTGGCTGCCTATATTCCTTAGCTTGGGGTCCTCCACCTTTTTCAAAGTGACTCATTCCTATCTCTGCTTCCATTATCACCTTGCCACCTTCTCTTCTTCTTTGAACCTTCTTTATTTATTTTCATAAAAACAACTGTGATTATAGCAGTTCACCAGGATGATCCAGGATAATCTCCCGATATCAAGATCCTTAATCACATATTTAAATTGTTTTAGCATTAAAAGGAAACATTCACAAGTTTTGGGGATCAGGATGTGGACATATTTGAAGGGCCATTATTTAATCTACAACAGTTATAAACTGAGATTGAGTAAAACAAGAAAGATACTAAGCTTAATTGAGCTGTACAACATTTTAGGTGCCTTTATACATGGAAGAAGGTATTTCTACAAGAGGAAAAAATACTTTAAATTAGATTATGATACCCTTGGTGAAGACAACGTAAATTCACGGCTACATTAATAGCACTTAGTGTGGTGCCTAGAACACAGTAGGTAGTAATTACTTTGTCATACAAGAAATTATAAAAAAAGAGAACCAATATATCAACATTCATCCTTTAAAAGTTAATGCTAAGATCTAGGTGACAAATTGCATCACACAAAAATACATTCCAAAAGAAAACAGTCTGGCACCTAAAAGAACAAATGTCTAAATATGAGTAATTCGTGTATTAGCAATTTTGAAGCCCATCCATCAGAGAAAGCATCCCCAAGATAAAGAGGGGTGTGCTGTGAACACCATTGCGTAAGGCCATCAACATTTAAGAAAAGGAGCAATTGCTGTGCATTCCAGGTATCCTAGAACAATTTTTATTTTAATTACTCAGTTTTATCATCTGATATTCCTAGCCAAATGTGTGGTTCAGTTAATATGATCACAGACTCTATGTTCATTTATTTCCAGACATGGATAGAGTATTGGAGTGCCAGTGAATTTACAAGCAATTTAGCACTTTCCCCTGGTATGGTACATCTGTGTCCAACAGGTCTGAGAGCCGAAACCCATCAGCATCTCCACCTAACCATGGACACAGTCTACATAGCCCTCCTGACTCACTGCCCGAGACTCAGGGAAACATGGTTTTAAAATCACTAAGATGCCAGTCCTTTCACAGTGATGATATACAACAGTGTTACATGGGCTAAAGCTATGCTTCTTCCTAAGTCAAAATTCATCATTATGTTAAGCTCAAATTGTTCATTTATTGTTAAGTTACGAAACTGTCTTTCCAAAATCATATGTTGAAACGCTAACTCCCAGAATCTCAGAATGTGACTGTATTTGGAGACAGGTCCTCTAAAGAGGTGATTAAGTAAAAATGAGGCTCTTAGGGTGGGCCCTAATCCAAACTTACCGGTGTTCTTGTAAGAAGAAGAAATTTTGTAGACAAAAAAGAACTGCCATGGATGCTCAGGTGCAAAGGAAAGATCACGTGGGAACAGAGACAGAAGATGGCCATCTGCAAGCCAAGAAGAGAGGCTCAGGCTTGCTGAAACTTGATACTGAATTTCTAGTCTCCTAACCATGAGAAAATACATTTTTGTTGTCTGTGGTATTTTGTTATGGCAGCCCCAGAAAACTAATACAGATTTTGGTACCACGATGTGGGATGCTAAAGAACTGAACACCTAAAAATGTGGAAGCAGCTTTAGAAGTAATGAGTAGAGGCTGTGAGAGGTTTGAGGCACAGATTAGAGGAAGCTTAGATTGCCTTGAACAAACTTTCTGTAAAATCATGGACATTAAATGTGCTTGCTTCTGTTGTGGCCTCAGGTGAAAATTAGAAATATATTTTTTGACACTAGAGGAAAGACAACACTTACCATAAAATGGCAGAGAGATTAGCTGAACTGTGTCCCAGTGTTTTGTGGAAAGTAGAAATTGTAGGTGACAAACCTGGGTATTCAGCTGAAATAATTTCTGAGCAAAGTGTTGAAGGTACAGTCTAGTTTCTCCTTACTGCTTATAGTAAACTGCAAGAGGAAAGAGATTATTGAAGAAGAAATTGTTAAGCAAAAAGCAACCAGAACTTGAATATTTGAATAATTATCAGCTTATTCCTATTGAAAAAAAATAAAAGGTATGTTTTGGAAAGAAAACCAAGAATGTAGCTGGACAATTACTCCATAAAGAAATTATGGATGTGACTCATAGATCTAATCACTTATCTCAGCAGAAGCCAGGAATAAATATGGGCTTATATCAGCAGAAAACACTGTCGGCTTGGACTAAAGGGGACAGACATAGCCCCAAATAAAGAAAGGCTATTGGAATACCAGAATTCTACAGGATGGGAGAATTCAATATCCATTTAATCAAGTTAAATGGCTGTAAACATATGTTATCCATCATCAAGGAAATGAAAGAATGACCCCAGAAGCTATTCAGAGATTGGCGGGACTGCCACTCTCACCATGGGCCCAGGTCTGGTGGGAGGATGGAAAGCCAAGGCTGTCTCTTTCTTGATTTCAGAATGAGGGGCACCTCCTTAGCTTCAGTGGACCAGGCTGCCACTTCCCAGGATGATAGAGACAGGACTGTCACTCAAGGCATCAGAAGACGACGCTATTTCCCAGGGCTAAGGCAACATTGCTGTCCCGGTGGACCCACAAAGCAGAGCCACCACCCCAGTGGGCCTGGAGCGCAGGGCATTAAGCCAAACAGGATTACTACTGAGCCTTAATATCTAATAGAATTTAGTCTGTTACATTTGAAACTTGCTAGGGATCTATGATTCCTTTCTTCTTTCATATTTATTCCTTTTGGAATGAGAATTTTCATCCCATTCCTGTCTTAGCAATGGATTTTCAATATACGGAACTTGTACAATTTTACAAGTTCACAGCTGGAGTGAAATTCTGCTTCAGGATGAATCATACCTCAAGTCTCTCATCATACTTGATTTAGATAATATTTACATGAGTTTTGGAAGTTAGAATTGATGCTGAAATCGGTAAAGATTTTGGACTGTTGGGATTAGGGTGAATGTATTTTGCATATGAGAAGGACAGGGATTTTGGAGATCCAAAAGTCAAACGTTACGGATTTATGCTCCCTTCATGCATACATTGAAGCCCCAACCATCCATAACTCAGAATGTGACTGTATTTAGAGCAAGAGCAAGAGGTGATTAACTTAAAATGAAGTCCTTAGAGTGGGTCCTAATCCAATGAGACTAATGTCTTTATAAGAAATATGGACACACAAAAACATGCCAGAGATGTGTGTGCACAAAAGAAAAGATCATGTGAGGACACAGCAAGAAGGTGGCCATCTGCAGGCCAAGCCAGAGGTCCTCAGAAGAAACTACATCTTCCAACAACTTGCTCTTGAACTTCTAGCCTCCAGAATTGTGAGAAAAGAAATTTCCGTTATTTAAAGCACCTATTATATGATATTTTGTATGGAAGTCCTCGCAAACTAACACAAGCAGCTTGCACTCGAGCTAGCAAATGAAAATTCTGAAAACTGAGACAGATTCCATTTTGTATATAGTGTCTGTGCCCTCTTATGGAAAATTATTGCCTTGCCCCTCTCCTTAAAATAAAGATTACTTTCTTTTTCATTCTTAAAATATAGCATCTCAAAGTCATGGTTTAAATAGTAATGTTGGAAGTAGTTGGTAAATCATTGTCTTTTTTATTTGTTCAGTTTATAAGTTACTTTTACTCTTATTATCTGACTCCCCCAAAAGCCATGTGTGATGAAAGGCATTACAGATATAATAATACCCTCATTAACTGACAAGACGACTGTTTCTAAAGTTAGCTAACTTGCCCAAATTTACACATGTAATAATTGGCAGAATAAAATCTCCGATCCAAGTGTTCCAATTCCAGTCCACTGAACTTCAATAATTCATGATCAACCAAAAAAAAAAAAATCTCCAACTCCTACAAAGTACAAAGAAGCTTGAATTCTTTATCAAGATACAATTAAAGATTTGGGAAGGAAACAAAATGTTTTATATTCAAACGGAATAGATAAGTGAATGAGATCACATCCTTACTCATTTACCTATAAAATTTGTGAAACACCATGAAAGGCGATGAGGAAGTGGGGCAAAATGATGACGACTAACTTTTTTAGTAAGGGCTGGTTGGTTAACCCTTTGGCCTATGTTTACCTGTGGTCTTCTTGATTTTTTGTTCCTATATTCACTCTGAACTTGGGTGGCCAGTTTGTAAAATACACAGACAAAGCTAGACTGATTGCCTGAGTGACTGACTATAACCTGGGTTAAACTGTCTATTAATTTATTTAAAATTTTCACTTCTGATCTGGTAAAACCCATTAGAGCGGTCTTGAATGAAATACAAGTAATTTTGTAAATCCGTAATGCAGTTGCAAATGTGGCTCCTGTGTGTGTTTGTGCATGCATGTGAGTCCGTATGTATATGACTCCCTGGGGATGGCTCAGGTTGTATTTCTTTTGACTCTGCTATCAAAACATTTGGATGTAAGCTCTTATTATAAATCAAATTACTACCTACATTTGACATTGCTGAAAATAAAAACCAACAATCTAAACAAAAGGAAATTAAGTGGGACAATCTAAACAAAAAGAAAACTAGGTGGGATAAATTACAGGACAGAGGGCTGTTACCAAGATACATTTCATACTGCCTAGGCTTGCATTTCTCTTCATTTGAAACAGTTCCTTCATAGCTCTCTAGCAATGTGTGCACAATGCCTCCCAAAAATGCTCCCATTAGATATGAGCAAGATTTTAGAATTTCCTTTTATGTTATATTATTGTTAGGGTGGAAGCCATAACCTCTACAATATTTCCCATAGAGACTCTGTGGAGGAAATCAGAGATAACATTGACACAAAGTTACCTGGGGTTCCTGAATTCAGACAGACAGGAAATTTTTTTTTTTTTTTTTTTTTTTTTGAGACGGAGTCCCGCCCTGTCGCCAGGCTGGAGTGCAGTGGCACAATCCCGGCTCACTGCAACCTCTGCCTCCCAGGTTCAAGCGATTCTCCTGCCTCAGCCTCCCAAGTAGCTGGGACTACAGGCGTGCGCCACTACGCCCAGCTAATTTTTGTACTTTTAATAGAGACGGGGTTTCATCATGTTGGCCAGGATGGTCTTGATCTCTTGACCTTGTGATCCGCCCACCTCGGCCTCCCAAAGTGCTGGGATTACAGGCATGAGCCACCACGCCCGGCCAGGAAATTTTTAAAAATACATTATGGCTAGATGCTACAAAACATAAGATGCTGGGCCAGGCATGGTGGCTCATACCTATAATCCCAATGTTTTTGGAGACTGAGGCAAGAGGATCACTTGAGGCCAGCAGTTTGAGACAAACCTAGGCAACACAGCAAGACCCTATCTCTAAAAACAAAAGAAAGAAAAAAGAAAGATGCAAATATATATATATATGATATTAAGAGTTTACGAAAATAAGATCACTGTGTTAATGCTCTGATGACAATACCTAACTTTATCTTCCTATTATTTGTTTCTTCTTATCCAGGAGTATGTATAGAGAAATATACTATGGATTCAAGGATGAACTGGGAGGAGGCTATAAACAACGCTACAGTGTGGGTTAAAAACAAACTTTCTTTTTCAGAAAAAAAAATTTGCCCTGTTGGGTTGTCTTTGCCTTAACCTCTTGGCTATCTTGAAGCAAAGAAGCTGTCCAAGGTCCTGAAAGTTATAGAATGGTTTGGCATGGCTCTTCGATGTGCTTCTCAAAGCAATAGCATAAATTTTAAGAATTATGCCATAATAAAGGGCAATATTCACACCATTGAAGGAATTTATGGATAATTAACTAGTTCCTTCCCTTTAAGATATCCCACTATCAAAATCTATAACCTGTTGTCCTCTCATCCATATATCCGTATTTTCTTAATACAGATGATACTAGAGGCTGGGAGGGGTAAGGGGAACAGAGGGATAGGGAGAGATTTGTTAAATAATACACAATTACAGCTACATAAGAGGAAAAAGTTCTAGCATTCTATAGCACTATAGGATGACTGTACTTAATGATAATATATAGCTTCAAATAGCTAGAAGGAGGATATTTAAAGTTTCCAACAGAAAGAAATAACAAATGTTTGAGATGACGAAAATACTAATTGCCCTGATCTGATACAATACATGTATCAAAACATCAAAACATCACTATGTGCCCCACAAAATGTACAATTATTAGGTATAAATAAAAAATAAAAAGTAAAAGAAAAGATGATATACTATTTGCTTTGATGTCCTCCAGCTTATTTGATCCTCATAATAACTCTCTGAAATAAAAAACTGCATTTCTATTTTTACTTTCTCCATTGTATAAATGGAAAAACTAAGACTCAAATAGTATGAGGATAAGAGCATGAAATTATTTGTTTGTGGACCAGAAACGAACTTTCAAAACCACAGAGTGTTTTCATTTAGAAAATAGATTATATGGTACCATAATGTGGTTTGTTTTAATTAATGACAAAGAGTATTTTGGAAAACACAGTAAACCATGGTACTAGTAAAAAGAAGATAAACACACCCATTGATTAGCTCAATACAACAGAAGGTTATCATGTGTTTGAAATTCAATATAATTTTGCTGTTTTTCACAAGTGATTAACTCAGCCAACACAGAACAAAATTGTCTACTTTAAGCCTATAAAATAATAAATACGAAATACATTGCTTGAGTTTGTCAACTTCTTTTGCCCACTGATTTGGTGAATATTTTTAAAGAATTTAACATATGTCAAGCATGATCTAGATGCCAGAGAAAGAACAATAAGATTATCAAAACCCAGCTTTCAGGAGCACACACGGCTTACTGCAGTAGACAGACATTAAATAAATAGCTACCCTACAACATGGAAGGGAGAAATACAGGTCTAAAGATTGTTACAAGAGTATGAGGGAGGCAATACCTCATTCAATCTGGGAAGTCACCAGAGGCTGCAAGTGTGCAATCTTCCAAATTTTAATGCAGTGCCTGACCATTTATAAGAACAAAGAAATTTCAAAAATTACTGCAGTAGCATCTATTGCTTACTTCATTTCCACTGTAGCATAACCATTGTTGTATTTGTGCTAAACTTCTGGGTATTCTGAAATACCTAGAAACTGGTATTATGAGTCAAGTGTAAATAGCACATTATGAGGAAGGAAAAATACCTTGAGATATGCCTAAAGAAGATTTGTGTGTGAGTGTTTGTATACAAGTTTATCAGATGCTCTTCATTTTTATTTTGTGTAACATCTTCATTAAAAACAAACAGGCATCCAGATAGACTAATCTTCACCTTCCTATAGAATTTAATGTCCAATAGAAATTAGCTCACATCCAAGAAAGAAATAATTGTGTGTAGAATTGCACATTCATACCAAAAAGATATCTTGCTCTGGACGCCTTAGAACAATAAATGTGGCATTTCTTCATTTGGGTGACAGTTTATCTGCTCTATTTTATTCTGCACTAAAATTATCCCTTGTAAAAATGGTGTGTCATGTCACGTTCTTTGAAAAACCCAACAAAAATGTGTTTCTTTCCATTGATGAAAAATATCTCAGCAATCTATCCTAGAGTCTAGAACTGAGAATCTAGGAAATGTAAACATTTTCCTCTTTGTTGAACCTTCTAGGCTAGAAATGTATACAGTGTCTTTCTATTTCCAGCATCTAGCATAAAGTCTGTTACATAATAAAAGCTCGAGAAATGTTAGATGAATGAAGAAGGGGTGGAAAGGACAGGAAGAGGGAGGCCAGCCTATTTTACTAGTAAGTGCAGTGCCCACATTCCAGCAGGCCTTACCTTTATAGTGCCTATTAGCTAACCTCCAGCAACCAAAGGGCTTTCTCTCTCTTTTGGGGGCCACTTTCTTTCCACATACAGAAGCAATTACCAACCAATGGTATGTGTTATAAATACCCAACTACCTCACCCCTCAAGTGGGTATATTAGTTTACTATTACTAATGTAAGGGATTAACATAAACTTAGTGGTAAATTAAAACAATACAAATATCTTATATTTCTGAAGGTATTAAATCTAAAATGTGTCTAATTGGGCTAAAATCAGGTTGTAACAGAGTTAAATTCCTTCTGAAATCTCAAGAAAAGATTCTGTTTCCTTGTCCTTTCCAGCTCTAGAGGCCTCCTCTGTTTCTCAGCTTATAGCCCCCTTCCTTCCAAGCCAGCCACAGCTTCAAATCTATCTCTGAATTTCACCATCTGTTTTCTTCTTCCTCATTTAAAAGACCCTTGTGATTATATTGGGAGCACTTGGATAATGCAAGATATTCTCTTTATCTTAAGGCCAGCTGATTAGTGACCTTAAATACATGTGAAATCTTAATTTTCCCTTGACATGTAACATAACATAGTCTTAGGCTCTGGAGATTAGGGCATGGTTGTCTTTGGAAGGCCATGATTCTCTCTGCAAGAGTAAGTTCCACCTGAGGCCACTGCTGTACACTGATCCACAATTTCCTGGTGTGATTAGACTCTAGTTGCACACAGTGTTTATCTTCTTGATAATGATACTTTAATTTGTGGCCTGCCTTTCCCTTTTCCCCATCTCACTTTCCCACTCGTTGCTGGTGCTTCCAGGAATCACTTCCCAAGTGATTTACTTGCACTCTAACCCTCATCTTAGGATATAATTCTGGGAAAACCCAGACTGAGACACCTGCCATGATAAATGTCATGCATTACCATGGGATGGATGGATGGATGAATAGATAGATAGATAGATAGATAGATAGATAGATAGATAGATAGATAGATAGATAGATAGATGTTACACAATTGTATGAGCTCATATAATATTCTCTGATGTATTTGTTTGCATTGTCCTCTCAACTACTGATATAGGGGATTGTTTCTATCACATTTTTTATTTGTCTCTGAGATCCTGGCATTGCAGTAGGCAAACAGTAGAGATACTGGCACCTTGGATAAAACAAGTTTTATATTTTCATTGTATTTTATGTTTTTCTTTTTTTTTTCAAAGCCTTTCCAGTGTTCTTCATTGCTGTGTGTAGAGCTATATGTCCACAAGACCGTGCTCCAATGATTTCTCATTGTTTCCAATAAGATACTAAAACTGAAGGCTTACCAGATTAGGCCTGCCCAACTTAACTTACTCTGCCTTGTTTTAGTCACTTGCTTTCAGTTGATTTTAAGACGTTATGTAGCTAAAAGTCAGGTGGCTAAACAAGTTTAACTAAACTCCCACTAGCTTCCTTATACATAATGTCTCTAATATATATGTCACCATGGTAACAATTACTTAAGTTGTTTTTCAGGAACTTAGAGTTAGTTCTCATCCAGTTCAAGCCACTGAGACCACTGACCCTCCAAATGGGCCTGTGTGAGTATAGATGCGTGACTTTTTGATGTCAGAGGGCCAAAAACTCCACTCTCAGATTATGCTAATGACATAATTTGTGAATATGCATCCTATGAAGAACCATGAAGCTTGACTATGCTTGTGCAGATCATCAATTGCTTCATATTTTCTTACTCTCAATCACCTTTCCCCATGTCTTGGACCACCTTGCTCCTTTATCCCATAAAGAGCCCTATAACTCCATTATCGGGGAGGGGGATTTTAGAGCTGCTTTCCCATCTCTTTGTTGCTCTGCTTTTTGTCTAAAACTTATTCTCCATGACAAAACTGTTGTCTCAGTGATTGGCTTACTATGCCACAGTCATAACAAGCTTGGCTCGGTATAAAAATCTTGTGTCATCCTTGTATTTTTCCTCTGTATGTAATATGTCTTTTTTTTCTCTGGTTGTTTTTAAGGTTGTTTCTTCAGCATGGTACTGGTAAAAAAAGAGACACATAGATCAATGGAGCAGAATAGAGAAGCCAGAAATAAGACTGCATACCTACAACTATCTGATCTTCAATAAACCTGACAAAAACAAGCAATGGGGAAAGGACACCTTATTCAATAAATGGTGCTGGGATAACTGGCTAGCCATATGCACAAGATTAAAACTGGACCCCTTCCATATACCATATACAAAAATTAACTCAAGACGGGTTAAAGACTTAAATGTAAAACCCAAAACTATACAAACTCTGGAAGACAACCTAGGCAATGTCATTCAAGACACAGGCATGGACAAAAATTTAATGAGGAAGATGCCAAAAGCAATTGCAACACAAGCAAAAATTGACAAATGGGATCTAATTAAACTAAAGAGCTTCTGCACAGCAAAAGAAACTATCAACAGAATAAACAGACAACCTACAGAATGGGAGAAAATTTTTGCAAACTATGCATCTGACAAAGGTCTAATATCTAGCATCTGTAAGGAACTTAAACATATTTAAAAGAAGAAAAAACAACCCCATAAAAAAAGTGGGCAAAGGACATAACAGACATTTTTCAAAAGAAGACATATATGCAGTAACAATCATATACAAAAAAGCTCAACATCACTAATTATGAGAGAAATGCAAATCAAAACTGCAATGAGATACCATCTAATACCAGTCAGAATGGTTATTACTAAAAAGTCAAAAAAATAACAGATGCTGTCAAGGTTGCAGAGTAAAAGGAACACTTTTACACTGTTGGTAGGAGTGTAAATTAGTTCAGCCATTGTGGAAGACACTGTGGCGACTCCTCGAAGATTTAGAACCAGAAATATTATTTGACCCAACAATCCCATTACTGGGTATATACCCAAAGGAATATAAATCATTCTATTATAAAGCCATATGTATGCATATGTTCATTTCAGCACTATTCACAATAGCAAAACATGGAATCTGTCTAAATGTCCATCAGTGATAGACTGGATAAAGAAAATGTGGTACACATACACCATGGAATGTTATACAACTATTAGAAAACTGAGATCATGTCCTTTGCAGGGACATGGATGAAGCTGGAGGCCACTATCTTTAGCAATTAGCACAGGAACAGAAAACAAAATGCTGCATGTTCTCACCTATATGTGGAAGCTAAATGATAGACACATAGAGGGGAACAACACACACTGGGGCCTTTCAGGGGTGAAGGGTGGGAGGAGGGAGAGGATCAGGAAAAACAACTAATGGGTACTACGCTTAATACCTGGGGGTATGAAATAATCTGTAAAACGAAGCCCCATGACACAAGTTTACCTATGTAACAAACCTGCAATTGTACCTCTGAACTTAAAAGTTAAAAAAGATTGTTTTTTAAAATTAAATTAAATTACATTGTATTAATGATGCAATTAAATTAAAATCATTGGTTTGAAACAATTTGATTATGATGTTCCTTTGTGTGGTTTCCTTCCAATTTCTTGTGCTTATGGTTCATTGAGCTCCTTGAAAAAAATCAACCGTTATTGATTCATTTTTTTCTGTCCTCCCTCTCTTCATTAAGAGTTACAATTACACTTATAATAGGATGTTTGAAGTTGCCCCACAGATCACTAATGTCCCATTCATTGTTTTTT
Source organism: Homo sapiens (assembly GCF_000001405.40). NCBI lineage: Eukaryota > Metazoa > Chordata > Mammalia > Primates > Hominidae > Homo > Homo sapiens. Next base: position 81,972,650 of record NC_000010.11, on the reverse strand, counting down.
CTCTGTGTTTCATCATGATAGTTTCTATTAGTTTTATTTCATGATAGTTTCTATTACTTTATTTTAAATAATTATTTTCCAATTCACTTACTTTTTTGTAGTCTCTAATCTGACATTAATCTCATCTAGTGTATTTTTTATTTCAAACAGTATTTTTTCATTTCTAGGCATTTGACTTGGTTATATTTTTATGTCTTCTTTGTACTTAATTTTTGAACATAGGATATGTAGTCTTAATAACTATTTTACCGTTCTTGTCTGCTATCGCTGTTCTGGATTTTTCTTGATGCATGTTTTGTCTCAATATGGATCATATTTCCCCACTTTTTTGCATACTTGGTTAGTTTTGATTGGGTGCTAGGCATTGTGAATTTTACCATGTAGGATGCTTGATATTTACTTTTGTATTCCTATAGATATTCTTTAATTTCCTTCATAGAATGTACTTACATTACTTGAAAATAATCTATATCCTTTATTTTTTGCTTTACAACTTTGGAGGTGGTATTCAAACAGTGTTAGTCTATGCCTAATTAGTCTCCACAACTAAGGCATGACACTCTGAGTACTATCCAATGTCCTGATGGTTATGAAATTTCCAGTCGACAGGTAGGAACAGGCACTATCCCTGGCCCAGTGTGAGTGTCAGGTATTGTTCCCACTAACCATTTTGGGTAGTTATTTCCAAAACCTAGTAATTTCCTCACCTGCATGTGCTGTGCAGTCCTCTACTAAATACCCAAAGCATCCCTTTACATATTGCTTCTATCACATGTCTATGCTTCTGTCATAATGTATCTACCTACAGATCTTTTGAGACTTTTCTCTAGACAAATCTCTTCTCTCCAGTACTTTGTCCTGTGCATTCTAGCCACCATGGTCTCCCTGCAGTTTTCAGCTTTATCTCCTTTTCAAGATCACCAGGCTCCACCTGGGTTCTCCTCCCTGTGCTACACGTTGGAAACTGTCTTAAAGCAGTAGGCTGGCACAATCATATGACTTTCCTCATTTGTTTCCTACCTCAAGATCACTGTACTTCACTGTCTGATGTTCAGTATCTTGAAAACCTTTGCTTCATATATTCTGTCCATTTATTACTTTTTTGCTGTCTCATTCAGAAGGTCTCTTTTACTCCAACTGGGCCAGAAGTGTAAGTCCCTGTCATCATAGTTGATCTTTTCCATTACTTATTAAATAATAGATATTTTCACTCTGTTTTCTAAATTTCCATATTATAAATACAAGTCTTTATCAGTGGTAAACAATACTTTACATCTCAACTCTTAGAAATTCGTCCTCACCTTTACAACATCTTCTATACCACCCATATGCCAAGACCTCTGTTCACCTTAATAAGCTATTACATACCCACATGTCCAACAGAGAGAAGTATCAAATCTGACTTGATATAAAAAGAGAAATATTTACAAAGAAGCGCATGAAGCTTAAGCCTCGGGGCTCTTCACTTGCATAGGCACAATACTTAATGTTGTGTTCTTTTTTTCTTTTTAGACGGAGTGTTTGCTCTTGTTGCCTAGGCTGGAGTGCAATGGCACAATCTCAGCTCACTGCAACCTCTGCCTCCCAGGTTCAAGCGATTCTCCTATCTCAGCCTACCAAGTGGCTGGAATTACAGGGGCCCACCACCATGCCCAACTAATTTTTGTATCTTTAGTAGAGACAGGGTTTCACCATGTTGGCCAGGCTGGACTCGAACTCCTGATATCAGGCAATCCAGCCGCCTTGACCTCCCAAAGTGCTGGGATTACAGGCATGAGTCACCACGCCCAGCCACTGTTGTGTTCTTAATTTTGTATTGTTATTCTTAAAATGTGCTTCCTAAATTGTATGAGGTTTGAGCCCCACCAAACCTAAATCTCCCCTGGATAGAAGGATTGTACTCAGATGAGATATGCAGTTTTGGAAGTCTGACTCTCCATACCTTGGTCTAGCATATTTTTTTCACACACACCACACACCACACACCCACACACACACACACAAATATTTCTGGCTTCTCCATGCCTCTGTTCTACATATCATTCAACATATGGTGGGTTCACAAAATACTTAATTTGCAAATAAAAAATGCTAACCCATGGCATCAAATATCTAACATAGATTGAATTTGCAATACGGAAATAATAGAGAATTACACTGCAAACTACCTTTTTGCCATTGTAAAATTACAGAATCAATTAAAAAACTGCTAAAGTTAAGAAAAAGAATCTTTTACTCTATAAACCTGGTTGAAATGAATCATAGGTCTTGTTGTTGCAATTATTTTGCACTTCACTACCTTTAACACTGATTATATCTAGAGGGATAATTAGTCACAGAGCCAGTAACAAATAACATCTCTCTGACATGTTGATTTACCAGTAAATGCCAGGTACATACACATTTACTATGCTATATGCACAAAAATAACAGCACTTCCTTCCTCACTGCCTATTTTACTTTTCCTCTGTTCCTGTAAAAGGCTACAGAAGTATTAACAGATGATCTAGAAAAGTTACTTTTAAAGTATCTTCCAACTGGGTCTTGGAAAATAGCCTCAGCACCCTTAATAGGTACAAACATTATCACTAGCTTAAATGTAAGAAACAGGTTTTTATTGAGAATCTACTATATGTCTTACACTATGATAGAAGCAATATTTAAATCGGAGTCTCCTCTAAAAAATCTCCTTCTAGCAGTAAAGATAGACAGCTAAAAAAAAATAGTGCAATATCTTGTGACAAATGTTGGAATGAAATCTGTATGAAGAGATTGAGTTAAAACGGGCATTGGAATACAAGACTCTACTTTTGTAAATACATGCACAGATATACACAGAAGTGCATGTGCACACACACACACACACACACACACACACTCAAAATGTCCAGACATGAGAGAAATCAGCAGGTATTATTAAGTTGCCTCAACCTAGCAACAGGCAAATGTGGAATGATTTACTTTTTCTAGTACCTGATACTATATGTGCTTTCTGAATTATCAGCACCAGGTGAACTGGTGACGGGAAAGGTAACTTACTCTTGTCAACTACAAGTATCAGGCTTATAATTTTTTCTGGTCACGCTGGATTTTTTTGTGTATCATTTTCCATTTTAAAATGAAATGTCAGCTCAGACTAGAAATGCCTCAAGAAGCCTGTTTCCTCTCTCTCTCTCTGCTCCCCCTGCTCGTCCCTCCTGTCTACACCAGTAAGAAAGCCAGATGTGGTTGTGTCAGTGTGTGAGTGTGCCGGAAGGCACAGGGGACCTATTGATTTTAGGGGGAACAAGACATTGATTTGCATTTGCAGGTCTTATTACTTACAGCTGTTATTTTGTTTTTTGTTTTTTTGTTTTTGTTCCTCTAACACATGCTGGTTATTGGTTCCTTCTATGTTTCAGGCCTCCAAAAGCAGCTCCCTCAGGACATATTGGTTGCTCTTCACTGCTCTGCTGGTGGTGGCAGGGGAGACAGGAAAACTTTGTTCAGGTCCCTGACACAGAAGATCCAGCAAAAGCACGGTCATGTCCTTCTCTTACCCCTCATAATCTGTTCAACAATGCTCCACTGTTGACAGGAGACCTGGCAAGATGGCTTCAGTCAGATACCTTACATGACCTATTCTTAACCCACAGGAAACTCAGGTTATCCTTGCAGCTGTGATACTTCCACCAACCAGGGCTACTCTAATCTGGCCCCTCTGCACTCTAGACCTAACAACCTCGCCTCACTTCGTCTTCTCTGCAAGAGCTGTTGATCTGATTCTGCCTCAGCACATCTCCAAAGAGATAAGCACCTGCCTCAGAACCAGAAGAGAAGGTGCAGGTGGGTAAACAGAAACCTGAGAGATGCTGGAGTCAAAAATCACCCTCTTTAGATTCTATTCTATTCTCCCCAAGAATTTAACTTTTTCCAAGCTCTTCTATGACGTCTGTGGCCTGAGGTAAGAGTAACAATGGAAGCCCACATAAATCTTAGTGTTTAAAAGTAGTAAGTCAGGACATCAAAGTTGTTAAATAAAGTATGCTCTATTCCTCTTACTTGGAAATACCACTACGTAAAGATCCAAAATGCCAGTTTTAAGTTCAAGCATTCTCAGAGTTCCTGCCAAAACACGGCAGCTGGAAGAGGGGTGCCCAGTCCCCCAACGTCAGAGCTGTGCAAGAGGAACAAAAAGGGAGGTGACATCTCACTTTCTCACTCTCATCCCTCAGCTTCAACTTGCGTGGCAAGTAGTGTAATACACCCCTAAGTGGACCACCCAGTCCCAAGTCCAAATTCTGCCCATCACTTTCACTCTCCCCTGCCCACAGTCATGCCTTAGAGTGATTGATTAGGACAGAGTTTAATTATTGGGGAGAATAGAGTCTAAAGAGGATGGTCATCCACTCACTGATTGGCATTTGGCCAATGAGAATCCTGTAAGAGGCCTACCAGGCCCTAGGAGGCTTGAGGCAGTGGCTCAGGCTCCAAGCATTTGTTATTCTCCTTGCCCAAAACAAAAGCAGAGCCTGCCCAAATGCAGGGCACAGAGCAGGGGCCCCTCTTTCCACTGACATTCTGTGGTTTTTAATCAAAATGAGAAAACTACTAGGAAAATAAAACTAAAACTAAGGTTGATGTTGCCAGGCAATAATGCTTCATAGTTCATTGCAGGCATAATATATTTATATGCATATCCATAAACATACTATAATAAAGAAGGAGTGCTGCCAAGAGCAAGTCCAAATACACTAGTAAACACAATATTGTGGATGGTCTCAATTCCCCTAACAAGTCTTTCTGATTGGAAATTTAAGCATACAGCCATATGCAGTCAAAAGAGACATATAAAATGGCTCAGAAATTGTAGAAAGAATAGGAAATGAAGACAAAGAAAGCTATTCCATTTAAACAACATGGAAAATTCTTCTACCCAAACACTATGAAAGACATTAACTTTTATGGAACTAAAAATTTAGCTTCCAAACACATAAATGGGAAAAAAATCAAGAATATGAAAGGAAATTGGCACACTCACTCTTACAGTTGGATAATCTAACTTTCTAAGAAATCAACAGACTATATAAGCACGCATAAATAAAAATATAGAGAATATATTTAATGCAATTAATAATTTGATCTAATATGCATACGACTTTTCACCCACCACAATGAAAATACATACTTTTTTCAAACACATATAGAACATTACCTAAAATAACAGTGTAGCAGAATACAAAGGAAATCTCAGAATATTTCTAAAGTTAACAAAAAGTCCCATTCACAATTATGAAATAAAATTCAACATTCATAAACAATGAAAGAAAAAAAACCTATACAATAATAAAATAAAAAACACAAGGGAAAAATGTTAAGATAAATCTTCTGTTAAAAACTTGGATTAAATAAATATTATCAGGGAAATCACAAACTACTTATACAAAAACAACAATCAGCAATAAAACTTAACACCTATGAATTATAGATGATATTGTATTCAAAGGAAAATTTATAGCTACAAATATATGATACATAATGAATATTAGGGACCTATTAAAATATAAATATATCAAAACATAAAGTTATAAATAATTAGTAAAAAATAAAACCTTAAGTGTATAAAATAGAAAATTTTTTAAAATAATGTTCTTGAAAAGACAAACATGCTCAATTAATTTCATAACCTATCTCCTATTAAAAGCAATAAAGAGAGAGAACAAATATAAAACAAATAGCATGAAAAAGGACAAAGCTATAGATAAAATTTGTATTTATTAATGATGTCACATATATGATTTTATTAAACTATTACTTGCAGTATAAAAAATTTCATACAACTAATGATCTAAAAGATAGGACTAATTTCCTAGGAAAAGCTACATGGCCAAAACTGGGTCAAAGAGAATTATCTAAACAGTAAAATAACCACTGAGAAAGTTGGTATACTAGTAAGATGACTTGAAGAAATCAAGCCTGCACTGATGTACAGGTAGACCCTATCAGACTTCATGTCTTGATCATTCTTATATTAGGAAATCTGTTTCCAAAGGTAGAAAATAGAAAGGAGTAATGACTCACACCTGTAATCCCAGCACTTTTGGAGTCCAAGGTGGTAGGACTGCTTGAGCCCAAGAGTTCAAGACCAGCCTGGGCAACAAAGCAAGACTCCCATTTCTACAAAAAATATAAATAAATAAATAGAAGAACAGAAAATATAAGAAAAATCAACTCATCTGACAGAGCCAGTTAACCCTGATACTAAAACCAGAAACAAGAGGATAAGGCAGTGAAAGGTGGGCCATTTTTACTCATTAGAAAAAGGTTATATTATATATACATAATATCATATTTTATATATATACACATATTACATTTATATAAAAATAAATTTATTAAAAATTTAGTAGCATATTAAAAGAACATATTATGACAAGGTAGAGCTTTTATCAGAAATTCAGGGATAAAGAGTTCAACATTTAGCTGTATATTAATGTAAATCAATTCATTAATTGATATAAAAAGTAAATTACCTTTGAATGTGTTGAAAAACATTTATAAAATTCAAACTCAATTCCTTATTAAAAGCTCTTAGTACAAGAAAAAGCATGAAAAAACTACTTAAATTGATAAAAGTTATCCATCACCAAGGTAAAGTATACATTATACTAAATGTTCAGAAAAAAGTCAGCATTTCCATTAATGTTCAAAACAATACAAGGATTTCCCCATCATCTTATCTTATTCAATACTGTCCTGAATACATACACCAAATAATAATAATAATTTAGAAATAAGAAATAAGAGTTAGGAAGATTAGAAGAAAGAAACAAAACTGTCTTTATTTTTGTCTTAGAATATCAAAGACTATCAACTCACAACTCTTAGGACACACACCAACAAATCATCAAAATATACAGATTCAAGGTCAACATACAAAAAATTCACACTTTCCATTACACTATAAAGGAGTTAGATAATGCTATTAAGATCCCATTTGTATCAGCACAAAATTGTAAAATATCTGAGGATAAATCTAATAATGAGCAAGGACAAAATTATGGAAATGACATAAAATCATAGATGATTTAATGAAGGTCTACAATGGTACTAAGTGGGATAACTCAGTATCATAAAAATATTTAATACATTATTACACACCCCACTGTGCCTATCAAAGTCCCAAATGACTTTTCTATGAAATTTGACAAGTTCTAAAATTTACAATTTTATATTAAATCTACAAAAGAAAAAATATAAACTCTATTAAATCTACAAAAGAAAGAATATAAACTCTGAAGCCAGATGGCCTGGATCTATATTACACATCTGATAAGAATTTGTCTAAGTCCCCACATCTAATAAGTAGTAGATAGAAAGATGGAAGAATTCATTGATAGATGACAGAGAGAGACAGAAATTTTTCTCAGATATCTTACCAGATATCAAAATATACTATAACCAGAGCCACCAGCAAAAACTCAGGCCTGTGCCAGGGTCACCCATGTAGGTATGGCCTAGGATGGACCTTTAATACTTCAGCACTTTCCGGAAATTCGTCAGGAACACAGCTGGTTGTCTGTTTTCTTTACCCTTGTATTTGTAATGTTCTAATGCCCAATGATGCTTGGTATATATTTTGTATTAAATTAATATTAAATGGGTAAATGTTACATTTTAATATGTTTGGGCCCAAGAATAAAATAATTATCAATGGAACAAAATGAAGTTTCAAGAAAACATATACACTTCTATGGTATCCATAATAAAATGAACAAAACATAGTCACAGAAGATGAAATACAAATGCTCAATAAGCACGGAAAAATATGGGACACCTAATTAATGAACATGGAAATGGAAAGACAACAACTGGATATATCTGTTTCTCCTATCAAATATGCAAAACTCAGAAAAGATTAAAAAAAGCCATCATTGATGAGGCCGTGTGGTAGGGGGTTGACTCTCTGTGGAATGGCCTTCCTGGAAGACAGTCTGGCAGTAGTATCTTTGATAAGGGCATGCACACTGTCTGATCCAGTATTCCATTCTAGACACAGGGTCACATACTCACCCAGGTGCACAAAGAACAATGTCAGAAATTTTTACTAGGGTATTGTATTCAGTGAAAATCTGGAAACAATCTCAACGTTCATCTGTAGGGGAAGAGTTAAATTCACTACTGTACGGTCATGAGATGGAATTTGTTGCAGATGTTTTTATTGAATTTTTTTGTAATTTTCTAATATTCTTCTTTTTTTTTTTTTTTTTTTTTTTGAGACAGAGTCTCACTCTGTTGCCCAAGCTGGAGTGCAGCGATGCAATCTTGGCTCACTGCATTCTCCGCCTCCCGGGTTCAAGTGATTCTCCTTCTATGCAGCTGTTTTTTAAAAAAAGAATAAAGTTATTCTACATATAAATTTCTCCAACTCAATACGGTTAAATGAATAAAGGAAACCACAATATATAGAATATGATTCCATTGGAGTAAATTATACATGTTCACATATCTGTGTATATCTTGATGCAGAGAATATGTCTGGAGGGTCGTACACAAAATTGATAACATTGCTTATCTCTGGGAAGGGATTAGCATGGGAAAATGGATGCAGATTAATGTGAACACTTATTTTATTTTTATTGCTTGAAATTTTATAAACAGAATGTACTCATGTATTTTTTGTACGATTAAAATAATCAGCAAAAAACAATAATATAATAACCCAAATGCTACGAAAACACAGATGAAACAGTGATTAATACTTCCTGGTTGGAGGTGGAGGAGGACAGAAATTCTGCCTCTACATGACTAATAACATCCCACTGAGGGAACAAAAATAAAGAAAACTAATGAAAACATTCCTTCCTTCAGCAACAAAGCATGTAACTCCACCACGGAGCTGTAAGGTTACATGCCCTGAGGCTCGGACACAGCTTTTACATTGACAGAGCAACCCTTAGCACTGCATCATGAAAGTGGACGTGTGTCCCGTCGTGTAAAACAGTCCAAGCGGGGACGTGGATGGATGACATGACAGCTCACTCTCACACTAACAACTCACCTGACTTGACTCAAATTACATTGCTAAGGATTAAAAGGCAAAACTTAGACAACAAACGTAATTAAAATACATGTATGTATGTTTAGGTGTAATCGTTAAATTCAATCTATTTTAAGCATTTTTGGTAACAGCTGCATACAAAGAACAACATACTATTCCCTACTAAAGAGCCCTCGTGGGCCGGGCGCGGTGGCTCACGCCTGTAATCCCAGCACTTTGGGAGGCCGAGGCGGGCGGATCACGAGGTCAGGAGATCGAGACCATCCCGGCTAAAACGGTGAAACCCCGTCTCTACTAAAAATACAAAAAATTAGCCGGGCGTAGTGGCGGGCGCCTGTAGTCCCAGCTACTTGGGAGGCTGAGGCAGGAGAATGGCGTGAACCCGGGAGGCGGAGCTTGCAGTGAGCCGAGATCCCGCCACTGCACTCCAGCCTGGGCGACAGAGCGAGACTCCGTCTCAAAAAAAAAAAAAAAAAAAAAAAAAAGAGCCCTCGTGGCAGATCATATTTTCCAAAGATGAGCAGAACATCTCCCATCCCACACATTTGTTTGCATTGTGACTTGTCACTCACCCAACGAGAGACAGAATCTATTTCTTCTCTCCCTTGACTCTGAGCAGGCTGTGTGACTGCTCTGAGCAACAGGGCGAGTTGTGTCGGTTATAAGCAGAGGTCTTAACTGGCCTGGCAGCTTCCACTACCTACCTCGTGAAAGCCAATCACTATGCAGGAAGTGCATTTTCCCTGACCACCATACTGTGGAAATCCTAAAACAAGAGGACAGACCCTGGAGGATGGGATGCCATGTGAGAGCAAGACCAGCTCCAAGGAGGTTGGACATGTGACTGGAGGAGCCATCTTGGAGGGGAACCTCTAGCCCCTGCCACCCTAGCCAAGAACACACTGATCAGAGACTACTCCGCTAGCCAAGCTTTCCCTGCATTTCTTACCTGCAAACTCATGAGCAAAGCTAAATAGTTGTTTAGTAAGTTTTGGGGTAGAATGTTATGCAGCAGTCAATAACTGGAACATCTCTGACTCACATGGGATTACAGACAGCTACTATGTTTAGGGAGACGGGAACATACATTTCTATCTAGGATTTATCAGCTAAAATACATAAGTAAATCACATTCTTTTGTCAGAAAAGTGTCAACTCCAAAGCTCAGGGTATAGAAACCCTATACATTACTATCATACATAATAACATATCTAAAGGATTAAAAACTACTATTTCTACTTTAGATTTCATGCAATGGTGGTAGCAAGAGGAAAGGAAATTACAACCCTAAATGTGTTGACTGGCTTCTACTGGCAGGCCCAGTGTGATATTTTATAGTTCATTTAATAACCAATGAAGTGGGTATTAAGCTCCACAATTTATAGATAAAGAAACCAAGGCTGAGATTTCTTTAACATGGCTGAAGCCATACAATACATGGCTGAGCTAAAATTCTGATTCAGTTCTGCCCAATTCAGATCCTGGCTTTTTTTCCACAGAGTCAAGGTTCTCAACCTTTAGTGCTCATCAGAATCACATGATCAGGCTGTTAAAACTGACTATTTGGTCCTACACAGAGTTTTTGGCTTAATAGGGCTGAAGGGCATCACTGAATTTGTATTCCTAACATAGTTCCAGGTGATGATTCATAGACTCCACTTGGTAGAGCCACCAAAGCATGCTGCCTTTCTATCCAACAATGACCTTTTCTGAAAAGGAACCTGGAGCAAATACCAAAAACGTCGGCTACTGCCTTCTGAGTTGACAGTGCTTCTTGTGGGACAAGTTCATAGAGAATAAACTCCTTCTATACTAACAGGAGCAAAAGTTATCAGTTAACATTAATATCTAACTAATGCAAAATGTGCTGAATTATATCAAATTTTATCACAGACCTTTTACAAAGAACAGCTGGCCAAAATGGACACAGTTAAAGCTGTTTCCTTTCCAATTGTCTCCTGCATCCTGCTAGTGGCAAAATGCCATTGCACAGGATGGGAAAAGTGTTATCTCTATATTGTTACCTAAAGTTTACACTGTATGATTCTAGAAATGAATACAAAAATAAAGGAAATTGAGAGATGTGTGAAGTGCAAAGTAGTATTAGTTCATTAGTTCATTAGTTCATTAATTCCTTTATTCAGCAAACAAATATTCTATGCTAGAGCCTGGTCACGGTGTCTTGGGAAGTAAAGAGATGAAGCAGATTTAGAAGATCTCCCTGTCCTCAAGGTGTCTACAATGTGATACTGGGGAGTGGGCTGCCTAGAAACAGTGGTTGTACATCATGAAACCATATCCACAAAGCCAGAGTATCAAATTTTAATATTTAC